>NC_000002.12:30423126-30575876 GCF_000001405.40 Homo sapiens
AGCTACTCCAGAGGCTGAGGCACAAGAATTGCTTGAACCTTGGAGGTGGAGGTTGCAGTGAGCCAAGATCATACCACTGCACTCCAGCCTGGGGGACAGAGCAAGACTCTGTCTCAAAAAAAAAAAAAAAGAAGATATGATAGGATTCCGTGGTCATTTGTGTTCCTTAGAACTCCATTACTTTCTTTCTACATTTGAAGCAAGTTCTCATGTTGCCTCGGGGGACTGTCAGTGCCTCAATTATACACATACACCGAAAATAATGGCATAGAAGGAAAGGGAAAGATTGGGCAACCCATAGTCTTTTTAGACCTTCTTCCCTCATCAGCATGCCAAAGGCAGGCGGTGTTGGTAGGATGTCATATATTAGGAAATGAAATAAAAATCATTGAATTAGTTTTATGCAGAGTTTTCACTGTTCTGCTAAAAACTAAGTCCATACACATGTATGAGCTATAAAATATGAATTTTGTAATTTCATTAAACACTCTTATGCCTATATTTAAAACTGGCATTATACAACATAAACATAAATGATAAAATTTATGGTGACAATTTTTAAATGATCATTTTTCTTAGAAGGATCTTATATAGCAAATTTTAAAATGCCATGACAAGTTGAGAGGGAAACTGCAGAAAACAAACAAAAAAGCTTTATATTTTAGTACCTTTAACAACACTCTTCTCCTGCTATTTGAACAAAAGACCCCAAATCTCCATTTTCCATGGAGCCTCACTAATTCTCCAGCAGGCCTGAGTATCTATCCTTTTTTTTTTTTTTTTTTTTTGAGACAGAGTCTTGCTCTGTCGCCCAGGCTGGAGTGCAGTGGCGCGATCTGGGCTCACTGCAAGCTCTGCCTCCCAGGTTCATGTCATTCTCCTGCCTCAGCCTCCCGAGTAGCTGGGACTACAGGCTCCCACCACCACGCCCAGCTAATTTTTTTGTATTTTTAGTAGAGACTTGGTTTCACCGTGTTAGCCAGGGAGGTCTCGATCTCCTGACCTTGTGATCCGCCTGTATCGGCCTTCCAAAGTGCTGGGATTATAGGCATAAGCCAACGTGCCCTGCCTATCTATCCTTCTTATAAGAATGTCAGCTCCACCTGAGTAAGAGTTTATCTGTTTTACCACTGTTGATAAAACAGCTCCTATATTAGTGTCGAGAACATAGTAGGCTTTCAATACACAATTTTTGAGTACATAAATGATTGAATAAATTAATGTAAGCCCAAAATGCCATCCCTGTTCATCTGAAGGCAGAATGAGTCAGAATGCCTGGCACAAACTGCATATTTCATTCTAGAACCAGCCTATTCATTCAATTCCCCTCCAATGAAGTGTTTATTCATTCATTTATTCAACACACATTTATGGATCATGTTTTCTGTGCCAGGCAAAGACAAATAAGTCATGGTCCTCAGCTTCAAGGAGATTACTGTCTAAAAATGGGAAACACAGTTATAAAGGGCTAAAGGTAATCAAGTGTTAAAAGCAGCTTGAGAGAACTGTATGCAGGGGACGTTGGAACACGGGCCGGTGATGCCTTGAAGGCTCTGGAAGAATGCTAGGAGGAGGAAACATGGGGTTCCCCACCATGAACCCTGGGCTCCATTACAGCGAGTCTTCTTACTGCCCAGACTATACTATACAAAGCCTAGCCCTCCTCACACTCAGGATTCTCAGCGCCACCACCACCACTCGGTATATCTTGTCCTTCCAGGAAGGTCCTCTTCATTTCTCTAAATTTCTTTTATCCTCCAAGGACTTTGTGGCTATAACTGGTCTCTCCCTGTAGCTGCACAACTACTAAGCAATTTAGCCCTTGAACATACATTATTTTGAATTGTTCCATTATTGCATCTATGTATAAATCGTATCCGTTGCCCTCCCCTTTCACATCACGCATGTGCGCGCGCGCACACACACACACACACACACACACACACACACACACACACACACACACACATCAGACTAGGTTGGAAGAACCCGTGTTCTATCATTACATGCAGTGGGTGCTGGGTACATCATGGGTGAAGTCATCTGAACTAAAGTGAGAGGCACATGTGGGCCCCACTCTCAAAAACTGTAGGCTATAAAGGCCTCCAGCTCAGATGGTCACTCTTTCAAGAAAGAACAAGTCAGCTTAGACAAATGTGAGGTCCTTTTCTCCTTCAAGGCGCCATCCAGACAGGGTAGGACCTGGGCTGGGAGGTACAAGGACCTACTATTGCCACCTGGGAAATGTGAAAAGAGTGAATCCAGGCTCCCAGGCCCTTGTGTCAAGCCACTGCACTAAAACGGAATCATCTGATGCAGATGAAAAAGCAATTAATTAGCTAACCAAGAGCTGTTTCTTCTCTGACTAGCCTGGGCAGATGTTCATTCTGGATTCAGCTTTTCCATGACAATCATAAAGAGTGCCAAGACACTGAGTCAGGCTGGCAGCCGCCTGTGCCTCGGAGTCTTGTATGTCCCCGTCCACTGTGGATAAAATACTGAGCTGCCAATAATGAGAATTTGCTCTGTGCTTCTCCACACACTAGGTCACAGTGGCCCAGGGCTTGAGGCTTGAAAATGTGTTTCTTCACATAGTTCAAAGCTGGCCAGCTGATTGGAGGATCTCAACTGATGAAAGAAGGGATCCACAGGTCCAGCACGGTGGCTAACGCCTATAATCCCAGCACTTTGGGAGGCCAAGGCGGGCAGATCACGAGGTCAAGAGATCGAGACCATCCTGGCCAACATGGTGAAACCCCATCTCTACTAAAAATACAAAAATTAGCTGGGCGTGGTGGTGTGTGCCTGTAGTCTCAGCTACTCAGGAGGCTGAGGCAGGAGAATTGCTTGAACCCGGGAGGTGGAGGTTGCAGTGAGCCAAGATCGCGCCACTGCACTCCAGCCTGGCAACAGAGTGAGACTCCGTCTCAAAAAAAAAAAAAAAAAAAAAAAAAAAAAAGTCAGGGATCCACACACCACTGCAATCCAGCCTAGGCGACAGAGCAAGACTCTATCTCAAAAAGAAAGAAAGGATGAAGTGATGGAGATAAAACCCTCCAAAGCAGGCTCCATAAGGCCAGTAGATTCAAGATGCAGCTGTGAGCATCAGTGAGTCCATTTCAAATAAACTGAACAAATGTTATTTATTGAACACCTACTATGTACCTCACCCGAACCTGTAGGGGAACTCACGTTTGAGCTAGGAAAAATAAGACGATAAGGAGAAGTAGAAGATTTAAGCAAGAGTGTAGGCTAATAAGTAAGGTGGCAGGCTCTAGACTTGACTGCTGGGTGTGGCACTCCCCAGATGCTTAGCCTTGAGCAAACTAACCCACAGTTTCCTCATCTGTACAAAGGGGATGATAAATAGTGCTTTCTTTGCAATATTGGGAGAAAGATTAAATAACATATTACACATAAAGCTCTCAGCCTAGTTGAGCTACAAGTGGAATATCTATTTGTATCATGATGATGGTGATGATGATGATAATAATGGTGCTGGCGGTGATGAAGATAAAAGGAGAAAGTCATTGACTTTCTGTGGGGTATGAGAGAAGTTATCTGTTTGTAAATGTATCCTTTTTCCAAACTGGTCTTTTTTTCTTCCACCTCAGAGTGTATATGGGGAGTTATTGTACCTTGTGGTCACCCAGTGAATACTCATTGGTGATGGAGATTCTTTATTTATTTTGAGACAGGATCTTGCTCTGTCACCCAGGCTGGAGTGCAGTGGCAGGATCTTGGCTCAGTGCAGCATCAACTTCCTAGGCTCAAGAGAACCTCCTACCTCAGCCTCCTGAGTAGCTGGCACCATGGGCACGTGCCACCATGCCAGGCTAATTTTTTTTCTTATTTTTTGTAGAGACAGCCACCACATTGCCCAGGCTGGTCTCAAACTCCTGGACTCAAGTGGTCTTGCTGTGGCCTCCCAATGTACTGGGATTATAAACACGAGCCACCGCACCCAACCATGATGGAGATTCCGAATTGATGATCCTGGGATAGGATGCCAATGGATCAGCTGAGTGTAAAATCTGGAAGGCAGGATTAGAAGCACTGGGTTTGGAGCCTAGGTAGGAAAGCCATGGTTCATCATACACAGGCCTCCAGCAAAGACCTAGATACAGAGAAGGTGAGGGGCAGAGTCTGAAAAACACCAGGTCAGATCTATGCAGGTTTCAAGTCTGTGCAAAATCTCACATGTTCAATGTCCAGGGATTAAAAAGGCCAATACCAAATCCTACACTGCTGTTCCTGTGTCTCCTTATCCAGGAACCACAAAGCTTGGGGATCTCAGAAGCTGGGGGTCTCTGTGGTATTTGGCAGAGGTATTATTGGGTTCCCTCATTGTGTGGATGACCCCTTGACTTTAGAGACCCCCCACATGTGTTCACTGACATAATAATAAAGGACAATAGGGTTCTTCTCTAGAAAAGGATCAAGATCCCTGAATGCTTCCAATTTTCCAATGTCTCACAAAATTTTCTCATTCTTTGCCCAAACGATAAATTCTAACCCCTAGTTTTTCCTCATTCCTCTTTGGTTCTCACACTTCCCCTCTCTTCCTGTCACACTGGACTTCACCATTTATTTGCATTGCACCACATGTGCCTTTGCCAACCCTAGTAACTAAATAAAATAAATCTTTTTTTATTTCATTGCCTTGTCCTTTATTATTGCTTTGCCTTTGTTATTACTACACCATCAGGAAACTTGGATATGATACATTGGCTGTCAGCATCCAAAAGTAATAAAATGTTTTCCCAAATCTCTTTCCAGCAGTCCATCACCAACAATCTCTTCCTACCTTGAAACGTTTTGTTTTATTGCTCCCCCTTGTATTCTGCCCATAGGCCAATCCATGTTCTGCTGGTGCCAGTTTTCCTCCTGCCGCTCAGACCCGACCTTACAGGCAGGCCATTTTCATCTCAGGCTCTGATACGTGACAGTCTCAAGGTTATTGCTTTACTGAATTCCTATCTGCTCTTGGGCAGAGACCCTCCATGAGCTGTAATATTTTGCTTGCAATTTCCCAGGGTACCCACCAGCCTTTATCTCGATGGCTGAGCCCAGGCAATAACTACTCTATCTCCTTTATCTAGATCCAAAGCTGTCTGTCTTACATAGTAAACACTCCTGTGCATGCTATCTGAGTCTTCCATCTCTTCATCATTTGCAGAATTGCTTTTATTTATGTGCTGCGTCCTATCTCACGTTCAGTTTCTCTCTGATAGGATTTTTAGGGTTTATGTGTGTGTGTGTTTCAAAGTCTGATGAATCAGGAAAGACCTAGTTATTTACTTCTCAACAGAGAAGATAAGAAATGATGACGAAATTCCATAGCTCACTCTCACCCTCCTCTCTAATTTGATTTTCAGAAGCAATGTGTGATGCTTTTGTTCTTTACCCCTGAAATATGCAACAGTTCCAACTTGCCTTTTGGTGTGTAGTCCTTTCAATCTGAAGACACCTCTTGGGTCTCAAGAGCTAAGTACCAGACAGTATTTGTGGAGTAATCGTATTACTTCAGAACCCAAAGTTCCCATTCTATCTTCCTGTTGTCCCCTTAGGGGTGTTTTGACGCAGATCAAAATTGAAGTAATGTAAAATTTTGACAGCCCCGAAATACTCTCTCTTTTTCCTGAATCTCTGCGTGCTGGGCCTTAGGCTGCACTTCCTGTTCACCAGTAACCTTAAGGAACAACATTGTGCTGTCTAATTCAAATTTACTTTTTATACATTGAGAATTTACATTCTCAATATGAAAAGTTTCTGTTTCTGAGACTCCCCAGAAGTCATTTTCCTCTTAGTTTCAGCCTCCCTGTCTTGTTTGGAGGGGTGACCATGGAGCACGAGGGGTGATTCATGGAGTTAAAGTCAAACTAGGAAGTGATTTTCAGGTTCAGATGTGACAAACCTCAGGGATAGTGTGAACCATAGACGTTCACATAGACATCATTAGCGAGGAAAGAGCATTGCTCTACAGCTTCTTTTCTTTTTTTTCTTTTTCCTAAAATCAAAAATAATGTTGTCTCTGAAGTACAAAAAAAAAAAAAAAAGGAGAAAAAAAGAAAAAGAAAAAGAAACCAGCTTCCCACATTTCAGGTCCCATGCCCAGGCCAAGGGGCCACCCCTACAGGCAATGCCAGTCCAGGGACTGAGCTACAGGTTCACTTGAAGCTGTTTTGTTTTGTTTTGTTTTTTCTCTCAATTCCATGAACTTCTCTCCCACTGGTTATCTCATTTAGTAAAAGCTGGAGCTAGCTGGAGGGACAGGTATAATTGGTGGGATTTTGTTCAAATAAAGCTTAGCTTTGAGGGTTTAGATGAAGGCAATTTACAGAGTCTGGTCTTAAAACTATAAAAGCAATATAAAGTAAGTCTGGCTGCACCATTTACTAGCTATGTGTTCTGAAGCAACGCCGTTAACCTCTCCGATTCTCAGTTTCCTCATCTGTGACATAGAACTAATAATAGTATTAACTTGGTAGAATTTTGTAAGATTTAAACTAAATATTCCACAGTTCTTGGCACATGGCAAATTCTTAGAAAATACTATCTATTGATATAACTATGTTATAAAAATATTAGAAAATAAGAGAAAAGCAATTCTGTAACTGAGTATTTCAGCTTTTGTTTTGTTTTGTTTTTTAAATAGAGACAAGGTCTCACTATGTTGCCCAGGCTGGTCTTGAACTCTTGGGCTAAAGTGATCCTCCCACCTCAGCCTCCCAAAGTGCTGGGATTACAGGAGTGAGCCACCATGCTTGGCCATATTTCAGGTTTGATTTTCCATGACTTAATATTTTTTGATGTGTCAGTTCTTCCCAAATTAATATAAAGATTCAATGTAATACCAATTAAAATCATAGCAGGAGTCTTTGTAGAAATTGATGTTGATTTTAATGAAAATGCAAAGGACTTAAAAGAGCCAAAACAACTTTGAAAAACAAAAAAGACAAAGTTAGAGAACTAATATTTCCTGATTTGCGGACTTACTATAAAGCGACAGTAATGAAATATGTTTAGCATTGGTGTAAAGATAGATGAAAAGACCAATGAAACAGAATACAGAATTACAGAGTCCAAAAATAGTCCCACACATATAGGGACCATAGATTTTCAAGAAAGATACAAAGGCAATTTAGTATAGGAAAGACAGTTTGTTCAACAAATAGATCTGGAACAACTCGATATCCACACGCAAAAAAATGTAATAACTGATCCATATCTCACACCATGTATAAAAATCAATTCAAAATGTATTTCAGACCTAAATGTAAAAGCTAAAATTATAAAACTTTGAGAAAAAAACACAGAAGAAAAACTTCAAGAAGTTGGGTTAGGCAAACATTTTCTTAGGCAGCACAAAAAAGCACAAATTGATAAATTGCACTTTATAAATTTTTAAACTTCTGCTCTTTTAAAAACACTGTTAAGAGAATGAAAAGACAAGCCCCGTAGAAAATCTTGGCAAACTACATATCTGATAAAGGGCTTGTATACAGAATGTATGACAAACTCTCCAAACTCAATAGTAAGAAAAAAACAGGCCAGGCACGGTGGTTCATGCCTGTAATCACAGCACTTTGGGAGGCCGAGACGGGCGGATCACGAGGTCAGGAGATCGAGACCATCCTGGCCAACATGGTGAAACCCCATCTCTACTAAAAGTACAAAAAATTAGCCGGGCGTGGTGGCGGGCACCTGTGGTCCCAGCTACTCGGGAGGCTGAGGCAGGAGAATGGCGTGAACCCAGAAGGCGGAGCTTGCAGTGAGCCAAGATGGGGCCACTGCACTCCAGCCTGGGCGACAGAGCGAGACTCCGTCTCAAAAAAAAAAAAAAAAGAAAAGAAAAAAAACACAATTTTTTAAGTGGGCAAAATATTTGAATAGAAGCTTCACCAAAGAAGACAGAAGAATAAGGAACTTCTGGCTAGCTGAACACGTGGAGGCTCCCAGAGCATTGCCTGCCGAGAGAGGGCACGAAAGCTCCATGCCCCTTCCCGCTATACCTCACCCTAGGCACCACGTCATTTACCTCCTGATCTATGATTCCAGAATTCATTGAATTTCCCACCCACTGCTGCCTAAAAACTTCTGCCACCATGTTCTTCCCCGAACCTCTTGGACGCTAAGGCTTACCCAGTCCAGAAAAGTCTAGAGCTAGATATGGCCTTTCAACAGGGAAACATCTTGTCTTGGATACAATCCAATGTCACAGTTCTTCAGCTTTCCTTTGTCCTTCTGGATATCGGCTTTTCTTGGAGAGTACAAGCTTGCTGTGTTTTAGAATTTCCCTTGTGTGATGTCTGATTTTGTCTTACGATGCGATTTAAATTATGCATTTTAGGCAAGACTACTTCAACTGTAATGTAGTATCTTTTTGAATGCATCACATCAGGCAGCATCTGATATCATTAACACTGATATCATTAACCAATAATTAATATTTTTGGTTATGTTAATTTTGACCCCTTGGTTGAATAATAATATATATAGTCATAAAATATAACAATATAATATAAATATAATCATGTAACAATATAAGGGCAGAATGAGCTGGGCACCATGGCTCACACCTGTAATCCCAACACTTAGGAGGCCAAGGTGGGCAAACTGCTTGAGCCCAGGAGTTTGAGACCAGCCTGGGCAACATGGTGAAACCTCATCTCTACAAACAATTAAAAAGTAAAAAAAATTAGCCGAGCATGTTGGCACATGACTGGGGTCCCAGCTACTTGGGAGGCTGAGGCAGGAGGATCACTTGAACCCAGGAGTCTGAGACTGCAGTGAGCCATGATCACACCACTGCACTCCAGCTCGGGCTACAGAGCAAGACCCTGTTTCTAAAAACAGTAAAAATTAATATAAATAAATAAAGTATATGATTTGATACATTTGGTCTTAGGTACACCCACAAAACCATCACCACAATCAAAAACATGAACATATCTATCACCTCTAGAAGTTTTCTCATCCCTTAGCCACCCCCTCCTCTGACTTCTTTCCTGCCACCATTCCCAGGCAACCCCTGATCTGTTCTTTGTCACTATTGGTTAGCTTGCATTTTTAAGAGTTTTATGTAATGGAATCACATGGTATGTACTCTTTTCACCTGGCTTATTTCACTCAACATAATGACTTTGAGATTCATCCAGGTTGTTGCATATATCAATAGTTCATTCCTTTATATCATTAAGTAGTTGAATAGTAGCCCACTGTATGGATATATTAGGTTGGTGCAAAAGTCATCGCGGTTTTTGCCATTACTTTCAATGGCAAAAACCGCGATGACTTTTGCACCAACCTAATACTACAGTTTGTATATCCATTCAGCTTTAATGGGCATTTAGGTTGTTTCCAGTTTTGAGCTATTACAAATAAAGCTGTTATGAATATTCCTGCACAAGTCTTTGTATGGACATCTGCTTTCTTTTCTAGTGAGTAAATACCTAGTAGTGGAGTAGCTGAATCATACACTACCATATGATAAGTGCATGTTTACCTTTTTAAGAAACTGCCAAGCTGTTTTCCAAATTAGCTCTATCATTTTGTATTTCCACTAGCAGTGTGAGAGTTCCAGTTCCTCTGTATCTTTGCCAACATTCGGTATGGTCAGGTTTTTAAATTTTGGCTATTCTAATGTGGTTTTAGTTTGCATTTCTCTAGTGCTAGTATCTTTTCGTGTGCTTATTCATTGTTCTTTTTTTTTCTAGCACAAAATCTTTATTTCTTTCTTAATCTTCTTCCTTTCTTTCATCCTTTTTTCTTTCTTTCTTTCTTTCTTTCTTTCTTTCTTTCTTTCTTTCTTTCTTCTTTCTGACAGGGTATCAAATTACCCAGCTGATTTTTTATTTTTTTGTAGAGATGGGGTCGCATTATGTTGCCCAGGCTGGTCTCGAACTCCCGGGCTCAAGTGGTCCTCCCACCTCAGCCTCCAAAAGTACTGGGATTACAGGTGCAAGACACCACTCCTGGCCAAACTGTACACTTTAAATACATGCAGTTTATTCTATGTCCCTTATACCTCAATAAAGCTGTTTATATATTTTTTAAAATCCTCATCTACATAAAAAGGACACATTTTAAAGTTTAAAATTGAGGGGTCAGGAAATAACAATATAAGCATGATTTTTAGAAATATGAAGCTAAGCACCAGAACTGCCAAAAAAAAAAAAAAAGAAAATGTTTAGGAGTAGTCACCTTTGGTAGCCAGAACTGGGGCAAGACAGTTAGGGAGTGGGTGGGGAGCAGAGACAAGAGACTAATGTTTTTCATTATGGACCTTTTGGATGTGTTTGATTTTTAAACAATGTGCAGGTACTACTTGCTTTCCATAAATAAAAGAAAAGAACATTTTAAATAAGAAATATCTAATTAGATAGGTAATTGAAAATCACTGTGGGTGGTATTTTGGTTAATGGATAGTGAAGAAAGGCATCAAGAAACAAGGGGGCCCAGTTCAGAGAGTTCTGCAATAATTTTGGTGGGAAGTATGAACCTAGAAGGGATCTGAATGTAATCTCTCCTTGTGTGACATGTGATGCATGTGACACCCACTCACTCTCTCTCAGTCCGAATCCCAGCTCTCTCCCTGCAAGCCCCTACCTCCTCCCCTCAGCAGCCATCAAGCTTCCCATTCTGAGGCACAGCATCTGCAAGAATCTCGAGGTGGCCTGTGGTGTGGGCACGTGGGCACTTGGCCAAGGAGCATTGTAAGATTGGGGGACAAGGCCCCAGTGGAGGGCTGGGGGCTCCTGGGGTGCTGTTAGCTAGTTCCATCACTGCCAGAACACTAGCCTAGGTTTCTTCTTTACACAACCATATATTACAGGCTTACTACCTTATCTGCTTCAGGGAGGGCCAATGCCTGGACTCTCATTTCTGACCCCAGTGACAGAAGCCGGTGCCTTCTGGTCATTTTCACAGAATTGTTGCCCAGTTACCCATAGTCTGTTCATCAAATTCTTCCCTTCCTTTGAATGCCTGCATTCCTTTCTTGCCTGTTGACATTGGCTATAGCAATGGAATTTTCCAGTTTCGTAGAAACAATAGCAGTTTTAAGGATATGGCTGCTCCGTAATCTGGTTCTTTCTGTTACAGCCTGAGTCCCGGAGCTCTTGATGAAACAAATATTTTATAACATGTAGTGTTTGTCGCTGAGTAGACACCACTGGTCAAAGCACCCATTACCAGGCACCAGTTAGCTAGAAAAGCCCTGCACACCTGATTGATTTGTCCTGTTCTAATTTATGTTGCTCAGTTTGTAGTAAATAAGTGTAAGCAACTCATGGCAGTAGAAGTGGACACATGGGGCTCGAGGTAAATAATAGGGCAAGATGACTCTTCAAGGCAGTGAAACATTATTAAGTGAAAAAGCAGGTTACAAATCGCTAAGTACAGGATGACCCAATTTTTCTAAATATGTATGTATAAATGTGTGCATGTGTGGTGGATACACAAAATTAAGAACATTAAGCAGTGATTCTCTTAGATTGAGGGATTTGTGAAAGATTTGTACTTTCTTAATGTTTGCATGCCTGGTTTTTCCAAATTTTTTCAAACATGTGTTACTTTGCAATAATAAGAAAAACAAGTTATTTAAAAACATAAATGAAAACAGCAAGATCCTGGGCAAACACCATGTGTTTTGTCTGAATTCCACATACCCCTTCATGAAGAGCCAAGACTGGTCTGACTAGTGGGGGACCCAAATTGCTGGGGGCAGGAGAGTGGGAGCTTCTCACAGGTGGCAGTAGGGGACACCCAAACTGAGGAGTCAGCAGAAACCACTCCAAAGTCGTCAGATGGGTGGTCCAGAAAGTTGCCACAACAGAAAAGACAGAGGCAAGTATTAAAGCTGCACTCAGAGTTAGAAATCCAAGGACACTCATTCATGCGTCCACTGATGATCGCCTACTCTGAGCCAGCACTGTGCTGAGAAACAGGGAGATGGCAACAAGGCAGCCGGGGAGGGGCCCTAGTGGGACCTGAGGTGCAAGGTTGGTTGGCAGGGATTGGGACATTGGTCAGTCACCATGGCTTCATGATCCCTGTCTTGGTTCATCAGGGCTGCTACAATAGAATACCATAAACCAGGCCAGGTGTGGTGGCCCATGCCTGTAATCTCAGCATTTTCGGAGGCCAAGGTGGGGGCATCACTTGAGCCCAGGAGTTGGAGACCAGCCTGGGCAACATGGTGAAATCCTCATCTCTACAAAAAACATAAAAAATAGCCAGGGGTGGTGGCAGCTCCTGTGGTCCCAGCTACTTGGGAGGCTGAGGCTGGAGGACTGTTTGAGCACAGGACAGGGAGGTTGCTGTGAGGTGAGATTGTACCACTGTACTGCAGTCTGGGTAACAAAGCAAGATCCCATCTCAAAAAAAGTTTTTAAAGCCCAGGCGTGGTGACTCACACCTGTAATCCCAGCACTTTGGGAGGCCAAGGCAGGCAGATCACCTGAGGTCAGGAGTTCGAGACCAGCCTGGCCAGCATGGCAAAACCCTCTCTCTAATAAAAATACAAAAAATTAGCCAGGCGTGGTGGCGAGTGCCTGTAATCCTAAATACTCAGGAGGCTGAGGCAGGAGAATGGCTTGAACTTGGGAGGCAGACTTGCAGTGAGCCGAGATCATGCCATTGCACTCTAGCCTGGGCAACAGAGCAAGATTCCGTGTCAAAAAAAAAAAAATTAATAAAAAAGAAAGAAAAACAAAAAAGAATATCATAAACTGGGTGGCTTACAGACAGCAAAAATGTATTGCTCATAGTTCTAGTGGCTGAGAAGTCCAAGATCAAGGTGTTGGCAGATTCTGTGTCTGATGACAACCTGCTTCCTGGTTCATAGATGATGCCTTCTGCTGTGTCCTCATATGATGGAAGAGGAGAGGGAGCTCTTCTTTATAAGGGCATTAATATCCCCCAGAATCTCCACCTCCAAATACCATCACATTGGGGATTAGGCTACCACATATGAATTTGGTGGCGGGCACAAATATCCTATAGCAATCCCCAAAAACAGTAATCACACTGGGCTTGAACTAGGGGAAAACGAACCACATGGCTGCAGTGTGGAGTCTGCTTCCCACTTCAACCCTACAGTCAATTTCTGCATTAATTCACATTTCCAGGTTTTATTTAAAAAAACAGTAGGCTAGGATGGCTGTTATGATTTATTTTTAACAATTTCTCAATATAATGTACACATATGCAAAGCACTTTGACATGCACTATCTTCACATAAAGCAGATATTATTATCCCCTTTTCATAAGAGAGTAAATTGAGGCTCAGAGAAAATAATTGCTGGTACAGTATTCACACAGTGATTCGGCCAGGGATGGGAATATGGTTTTCTGGCCTTTAGACCAACACTCTTTCCACTATATTATCTCACAGTTATCTGTTCATTCATCCATTGATTCATCCAACATCAGTCCTACTTAGAGCCTGTCAGGGTTATTGCAGGTGTGTCCAGAAACTCAGAGGTGGGCCCCAATAATTACACTCCAGTATCCGACCTAAATCAATAATTCTCCATTTTGAATGCACTTACAATTGCCTGGGGATCTTTTAAAAATTACCACTGCCCAGGCCCCATCCTAAACCGAATATAATTATGATCTCTGCTGTTTTGAAAGCTCCCCGGCTGATTCTAATGCATAGCTAAAGTTTAGAAGCATGGTTCTTGAGACTAAGCACAAAGTGTGACAATTTCAGCGACTCTCTGAACCAACTTATTCTAGTGGAACTGTTCTGAATGATAGTCTTGAACTCTTGAGCTCAGAAGTTCCTCTTGTCATCAGATGCTTGCTGAGGGGTGGAGATTGAGTGTCACAGACATTGACTTTGTATTATAATAGGATGGTCCAGAATGGTGAGAGTTCTGGGCAGCAGCCAGAGGCCCCAAACTGTGCCTGGATATCATACTGGAGATAATCTGAGCTCTGTATAAGGGATTTGCTTAGCTTTCCATAGTTGTTTCTATTTTCTGAGTTTTTATATGTAAATGGGGGTATAGGAGCAGAAAAGAGAACTGAGAAGAATTAGACAGGGCTTAAAGAGGATCTCATCCAAGCTACAACTAGCTAGGAAATTGAATCTCAGAGAGGGGAAATAACTTGAAACAATTAGTGAACAATGCTAAACAGGACATGATTCAGTGCCAAAATGTGGCTGTAGGCCACAACTGCCTACTCGCTCAGTGCTTTTGAGGACTAATTGTTCTCCATGGGTCAAAGTGCATAAGCACTTTCTTTCTAGGTTGATTGACATTCACATTTTCATCTCCCCTGAGGCATTTAACTGGAGCAAATTCATAAGCCAAATTAGATAAAGATGGACAGAAGGAAGAAGTAAAAAGAAGGCAACTCTCATTTGCTAAGCATCTACTACATGTACTAGCACCTCATCACAGCTCCACAAGGCAGGAACTATTTATTTTTCTCATTTTGCAAATGAGAAAACTGAGGCTCAGGGAAGTCAAACTACTTTGCCTCAAATATAGAGTTGGTACGTGGCAGTGGAACTGGATTGCATCTAGCTGTCTTTGCTATGCTTAGCATTTATGAAACTGTGACTATAAATCTTAAATTCACTTCTTACTGGTAGTTTGCCTACAGGATGATGAACTGGATGGTGTTTTTAGTGCCAAACCGAGGATTGAGACATCTACTATTCTCCCACCTCTTGTTTACTTATTATTTATTTTTATTTTTTGCTTGAGTTATTTATTCCTATTTCCCTAAGTCGATTGATGTGACCAACATAAGCTGATGTGATCATGAAACATGCATGACTTTGGTGGAAGAAACGAATACAGAGGTCAAGAAACAGGAAGTAAATCCAAAGTGAACTTGAATCAGGGCCTAGGGCAGCCCCATCCAAGATAGGGAAGAAATGGTATATAGTAACCTGTGAAGAATTCCAGAGGAAACTGGAAATGAGGACTCTTTTTTCAAGCTATTTTCAATTTATCCAGGAATAGAAGATACTGTTTTCTAAACACATGAACACATTGATGACGAAGCATAAAAACACATAAATGACATTGTCTTCTTTTGAGGAAATCCTGGAAACAGACAGGTTTCTTGACCAGCCAGGAGTACTGTTCTGTTTCATTTCACCACTATGACCCAAGCATGGCATATCAGTCAAAAGAGCTTTGTGACCTTGGATACAGCAATCATTTTTCATATCATTGTTTCTAACCATGGGGCAGCTTCCACATGCTTGCCTCCCCCTATTTGTTCCTGGAAACTGTCTCTCATCACGAGGCACCAAAATGAACCAGCCTAGATTTCTGAGAATAAAGCATGTATATCTGATCCTGGGTGTTGCTTTGCATTTTATAGCCTGGGACATTTATAGCTGAGAATACCTGAAGGCAAGGCCTATTTACTACTCTGTTGGCTTCATGTGGTATTTTTCTTGGATGCCTTTCTCTCTTTTATGAAGAAAGTAATAATTTTCAGTTTCTGTAAAACAGAATATGCTCCAGGATACTTAGAAACTGGCTAGTCGGTAGGCCTAAAAGGGTAAAGGGAAGGAAATGACCATATATTGGGCATCTAGTATGTACCCCCATTCCTAAGGAGCAAGTATTACCATCTCAATTATACAGAAGAGAGAATAAAGAAGTGAGGCACCATCAGAGGCATGGCCTTCGGCATGACATGGACTCATCAGAGTGTGCATTTTGGCTACACCACCATCTAGTTCTGAAGACTTAGTCAAGATTTCTGAGCCTCAGTTTTTTTGTTTGTTTTTTTTGTTTTCTCATTTAGTTTAATCTTAACAGCTTTATTAAGGTATAATTGACATGCAGCACACTGCACATATTTAAAGGTCTATGTTAGTTTGTTCTCTTGCTGCTAATAAAGACGTACCTGAGACTGGGTAATTTATTTATTTATTTATTTTTTAGACGGAGTCTCGCTCTGTTGCCCAGGCTGGAGTGCAGTGACGTGATCTTGGCTCACTGCAAGCTCCGCCTCCCAGGTTCACGCCATTCTCCTGCCTCAGCCTCCCGAGTAGCTGGGACTACAGGCGCCCACTACCACGCCTGGCTAGTTTTTTTGTATTTTTAGTAGAGACGGGGTTTCACCGTATTAGCTAGGATGGTCTCAATCTCCTGACCTCGTTATCTGCCCACCTCGGCCTCCCAAAGAGCTGGGATTACAGGCGTGAGCCACCATGCCTGGCTGAGACTGGGCATATAATTTATAAAGGAAAGAGGTTTAATTGGCTCACAGTTCTCCATGGCTGGGGAGACCTCAGGAAATTTACAATCATGGTGGAAGGGGAAGCAAACACATCCTTCTTCACACGGTGCCAGGAAGGAGAAGCATGACAGCGAAGTGGGTGGGGAGGGAAGTCCCTTATAAAACAATCAGATCTTATGAGAACTCACTCACTATCACAAGAATAGTATGAGAGTAACTGCCCCCATGATTAAATTACCTCCCAGAGGGTCCCTCCCATGACACATGGGGATAATGGGAACTATTAATACAATTCAAGATGAGATTTGGTGGGGACACAGCCAAACCATATCAAGGTACAATTTAAGTTTTGACCTATGTGTACACCCATGAAACCATCATCCAGTCAAGATAATCCTAACCTTCTCCCCAAAAGTGTTCTACTGCTCCTTTGTAGCCCCTCCGTTTTCCTCCTCCCCACCCTGTTCCCCGGCAACCGCAGGACTGCTTTTGGTCCGTATGTGGTACGCAGTAATAATGGCCCCCAAAGATGTCCCTGTCCTAATCCTCTAAATCTGTAAATATGTTACCTTACATGGCAAAAGGGACTTTGCAGGTGAGATTTTCCTCGGTTATTCTAGGCCCAACCTTATAAAGGAAAGAGAGAGGCAGGAGAGTCAGAATTAGTGCAGGCTCAGTGATGACGGAAGCAGAGTTTTCAGTGCGAGAAATGAAGATGAGACACAGCTGACTTCAAAGGTGGAGGAAGGGGCCACAAGGCAAGGAACTCAGGTAGTCTCTAGAAGCTGAGAAAGGCAAGGAAATGGAATCACCCCTAGAATCTTCAGAAGCAATGCAGCCCTGCAGACACCTTGATTTTAGCCCCGTGGATCCCAGTGCGGGAGGCTGAAGAATAGCTCTCAAAAATATCCAGATCCTAATTCCTGGAACCTATGAATGTTACCATATATGGCAAAAGGAACTGTGCAATTGTGATTAAATTAAGGATTTTGAGATGGGGAGATTATCCCGGATTATCTGGTGGACCCTAAATGTAATCACAAATGTCCTTCTAAGAGAGAGGCAGAGAGAGATTTTACTATGGAAGAGGAGAAGGTGAAGTGATGTTGGGAACACAGACTGGAGTGATGTGCTTTACAGATGGTGGAAAAGGCCACAAAACAAGTAGCACTGATACTAGAAGCTGAAAAAGGAAAGGAAATGGATTCTCCCTTTGAATCTCCAGAAGGGACGAATGCTGCCAACACCTTGACATTACTCAGTAAAACTGATTTTGGACTTTTGACCTCTAGACCTGGAAGATGATGAATTTCTGTTGTTTTGAGCCACTAAATTTATGGTAATTTGTTACAGTAGCAATAGGAAAATAATACACTGATCCTTGGTTTTACATCTGTAGAATGAGGATAATATATTATTTCTGGGGTCATAGTAAAATTAAATAACTTAGTTTATAGCATATGGAGTTATTTTCCTACAGTGTCACTTATTTCTTTCTCCTCAACCCTGAAAGAATGTGGTCTTTGGCATAACTTAAGTTATACTTCTAGAGGTGGTGAATATTAACAGGGAAAGATTTGTTTGTGCTGTAGAAGCTCTGGTTGGAAGACTGGGATATATGGGCCCACTCTGGGGAAGGATCGTATTATACAACCAATTGTAGGCTAGGACCAAGATCTCCACAGAGCTGGTCCCTGGGTAGAGATGGCAAATGGTTAGAAAACCACCAAGAAAAAGAAGGGGTTTGTTTTTCAAAAGTTTTCTTGTTATTCAGGTATGGTGTGGCCAAGAGATGGGGAGATAACTTCCATTGAAAAGATAATCTGTTACAGTCAAGAGGACAGCACATGTCACTCCACGTGGGCCCACAGCGGGGAGCACCAAGCTTGGTCAGAATGCACAAGCCGGCCAAGTGCAGTGGCTCATGCCTGTAATCCCAGTGCTTCTGGAGGCCAAGGCAAGAAGGATCACTTCGGTCCAGGAGTTCGAGACAAGGCTGGGCAACATAGCGAGGTTTTCTTTTTTTTTTTTTTTTAGATGGAGTTTTGCTCTTGTTGCCGAGGCTAGAGTGCAATGGCGCGATCTCAGCTCACCACAACCCCCGCCTCCCAGGTTCAAGCAATTCTCCTGCCTCAGCCTCCCAAGTAGCTGGGATTTCAGGCATGCGCCACCACCCCCGCTAATTTTGTATTTTTAGTAGAGATGGGATTTCTCTAAAAATAAAAATAAAAAATAAAAAATAAAAATACACAAAAAGCAGGAGGAAATCATGGGAAAGTCTTTACTATGGTTTCTATGGGAAGGAATGGGCAAGGCAGGGTATGCAGGCTTAGGATAGGCTAGTTTTGATCTCAGCAGGCTCTGAGGTAGAGGAGCTATCCCAAGTTGTCTGGTGCATGGGCAGAGGAATATTGGCCTGGAGTGTAAGAACCAGTTAGAGAAGGTGGGGGTTTGTGTGTCTGGATTAGTTGGTTTGCCTATGAAAGGCACACTCCTGGGAGAGTTATTTGCTAACCCTGGTATAGGTAGTTCTTCAAGGAGGTCTCAGATGACAAAGCATCAAGAACACAGAAAATAAAAAAATACAGCCGGGCGTAGTGGCTCACGCCTGTAATCCCAGCACTTTGGGAGGCCGAGGTGGGCGGATCACCTGAGGTTGAGAATTCAAGACCAGCCTGACCAACATGGAGAAATCCCATCTCTACTAAAAATACAAAATTAGCGGGGGTGGTGGCGCATGCCTGAAATCCCAGCTACTTGGGAGGCTGAGGCAGGAGAATTGCTTGAACCTGGGAGGCGGGGGTTGTGGTGAGCTGAGATTGCGCCATTGCACTCTAGCCTCGGCAACAAGAGCAAAACTCCATCTAAAAAAAAAAAAAAAAAAAGAAAATACAGTCAATATAGGTTGCGGGATGGCCATCTCACAGTGATTATGTGGTCATCAGAGATAATTCAGTGGCGGTCGAAAATAGATGTTGAAGAGATTGGAATTGGGCCTTAAAGGTCGTTACTATTTAGAGAAACAATAGAGAAAAGGTAACAAACATTTCTTTTTTATTTTATTTTTTTGAGAGGGTGTCTTGCTCTGTTGCCCAGGCTGCAGTGCGGTGGCACGATCTGAGATCACTGCAACCTCCACCTCCCAGATTCAAGCAAGTCTCCTGTCTCAGCCTTCTGAGTAGCTGGGATTCCGGGCATGCACCATTACAACCAGCTAAGTTTGGTATTTTTAGTAAAGACAGGGTTTCACCATGTTGGCCAGACTGGTCTCGAACTCCTGGCCTCAGGTGATATGCAGGTCTCAGCCTCCTAGAGTGTTGGGATTATAGGTGTGAGCCACTGCACCTGACCCATTGTTTCTTGCCTTTGGAGATGACTGTGATGTCTGGAGTTGTTGACAACCATCTTGCGGCCATGAGGCAATAAACATAAAAATGTAAGGCCAATATGCTAAGGAAGGCAGGGCAGAAGGAGAGAAAGAACCTGAGTTGGCTGGGTGCTGTGGTTCATGCCTGTAATCCCAAATACTCAGGAAGCGAGAGGATTGCTTGGGGCTGGGAGTTCAAGACCAGTCTGGGCAGCATAGCAATACCCTGTCTCTAAGAAATTAAAAAAGCTTAGCCAGGAGGATCCCTGGGGCCCAGGCTGCAGTGAGCTATGATGAAATCATGCCACTGTACTCTAGCCTGGTCTCAAAAACAAACAAACAACAACAACAACAACAACAAAAACAAAAAGAAAAAAAAGAAATGAAAGAACCTGAGTCCTGGATGTCATTTTTAAGTTAGAGTTAATTCTGAGATTACCTATCTCTACACTTTGAGTTAAGTAACAATAAATGTTCTTGTGGTTTAAGCCACTGTTAGTTGCACTGTTAGTTGAGTTTGTGATAACTTACAGAGGAAGGTGTTCCTTACTGATACAGAGGGTTTGTATTGAGTAGTAGCAATAGGATAAAATTGTTTTTTTCTATGTTGGATGAGTGACTCATCACCAGGGTTCTAAACATACTTTCTGGTAGTTGTATCTTTTTAGCCTAAGTGAAATTTTGGTCCATCAATATATCAGTTAGGTTTTCACAAGAAACAAGTGACACCCTTGGCACAGAGGGATGATTAAAGAGAGTTGAAGGCTGACTACAAAGGTACAATCAGCGTTAAGGGAAATTAACAGAGGGCAATGAAGTACCCTGAGGCTAGACACAATAAGTTAGGCCATCACACACCCTGTGGGCCCTGCCTAAAGGGACAAGGCGGGGAGTGGGTCCCAGAATCCAGTGAGAGCTGGGCTCTAGACAAGGAGCTGTGGCCTTACGTGAAGTGTTGAAGCCACTGCCACCCTGCAGCCCCACAGGGAGGGAGCCAGGGGAATGCAGCCTTGAGCTGTTTCTCAGCCCACCCTGCAGAGTCCAGCCAGGGCCTCCCATTGGCTAAACCCTGCCAGAGGCAAAAGACCAGGAGTCAGGAGAGGAAAGCCGGACAAGTCAGCATAAAGATGGGGGTGGGGCCGGGCGAGGTGGCTCACACCTGTAATTCCACCAGTTTGGGAAGCTGAGGGGGGTGGATCACCGGAGGTCAGGAGTTCAAGACCAGCCTGACCAACATGGAGATACCCGGTCTCTACTGAAAATACAAAATTAGCCAGGTGTGGTTGGCACATGCATGTAATCCCAGTTGCTCGGGAGGATAAGGCAGGAGAATTGCTTGAACCCGGGAGGCCGAGGTTGTGGTGAGCTAGGATGGTGCCATTGCACTCCAGCCTGGGCAACAACAGCGAAACTCTGTCTCAACAACAACAACAAAAAAGATGGGGGTGGGGAACGGGGAAGGGGAGAGATGGAGCAAAAAGAGAATAATCAGAACTATTAATAATTAGACTCCACAGCTGTTTTGTGCTAATGTAAATTTGTCACTACTTCCAAGCTGTACCTTCTAGCACCAAAACTCCTCAGCTACCAAAGACATGGCTTACTCCATGTCTCAAGAAATTAAAACATTTCATTTCAAATGCCTTTTGAATTTCAGAATCTCGTTGGATGACTGGTGATATTAGGTAATGCTAAGTCTCATTCATAGAAATTTTTGCAAAGAGGGAATTGCAAAAGAAATTTTGCAATTCTTGCTTGCAAGCAATAAACTGTAGGCTATAATAAATGGGCCACTCTGGGCCTCCAGTTAAGTATCTGTGGCCTCTGCTGGCACTGGGCTGCATGTTGCTTGTATTCATTACCTTGGGAGAGACTTGCTCCGATTTTATTGGCGGCAATGTACTTGGCTCTTTTCTGAGGTCTGTTATTGAGCACAGATTTTCCCTTATTACTCTCACATTTTGAAGAGGAGTGAGCAATTACATGGGCATAGAAAGTACCCCAATAATGACAAAAGTACAATAAGAACTAGGACTTGAGATTTCCTGTATGTCATAGTGTGTCCCTGAGCATTACAGAGAGTGCCCTATTAAATGTGACCATTAAGTCAATGGCTCATGAGGTTCAGCAATTCATCAGCTGTGATGCTCTGTTACTGGGGTCAGGAAAGATTGAGAAACTTGTCCCTTTGGGACAGTAGAGCACAGATTAACACCACTTTTTAAGTGTTATATACTACAATGTAATAATAATAGAAATAAAGTGCACAATAAATGTAATGTGGTTGAATCATCCCGAAATCACCCCCTTCACCCTTCACCCCGTTCATGGAAAAACTGTCTTCCACGAAAGCAGTCCCTGGTGCCAAAAAGGTCGGGGACTACTTCTCTGGATGTCTTGATGAAATACATACATTTCAGACGCGGATAAACCCCACAAAAATTCAGGAGCTTGCTACATTGGTGATATTTTAAAATAATTATTTAAAAAACTGGGGGGGTAGTTTTAGACTTAGGAGAGATGTAAAGAGAGTACAGGGATTTTTCCATATATTCTTTACCTAGCTTCCCCTTATGTCAACATCTTGTGTAAGCATAGAACATGTATCAAAACAAAGAATGATCCTGGTACAATAGCATTATGTAAACTATACATCATTTTGGATGCTGAAGTGGTCCAATGATCTTGGGCACGTCAAGACATTTTCCCCAGAATGAAAAACATGTTACTACACCTTGCACCTCTGCCAAAAAGAAAGAAGCATGACACTTAGCAGATCTCTGAGTTTAGAAATCAGCATATTTTGCCCTTGGGAATTCTGTTCCTATCCCTTTAGCAGTTGACGTGGAAGGTGGCTACTGATCAGTAGCTCAGATCAAGAACGGGCTCAGGGCCAGGCGCGGTGGCTCAAGCCTCTAATCCCAGCACTTTGAGAGGCCAAGGTGGGTGGATAGCTTGAGCTCAGGAGTTCGAGACCAGCCTGGCAACATGTTGAAATCCTGTCTCTACAAAAAACACAAAATTAGCTGGGCATGGTGGCAGATGCCTGTAGTTCCAGTTAGTCTGGAGGCTGAGGTGGGAGGATTGCTTGAGTCCAGGAGGCAGGGGTTGTAGTGGGCCACAATCATGCCACTGCACTCCAGCCTAGGTGACAGAGCGAGACCCTGTCTCAAAAAAAAAAAAAAAAAAAAAAAAAGCAAAGAAAAGAAAAAAGAAAGAGCCCAGCACTGTCCTCTGTGGTTAGGGCGGTAAGGGCAACCTTGCCTCTTGGGCTGTATCACCGGACACACCTCACAATGCTAGAGCTCTCTGCAATGGAGCTGCAAAGGCTATGAGGAACCTCCGGCAAGCCCCCAAAGAACCACAGTAGAGCCCTTGAAGGTTCTGGAGCATAGCCAGGCCAACTCTTAACAACAACAAAAAAGAATTGGGAGATCTTTTATTCCAGTAATCTTATTTTAAAGGTAAAAAGGAGGCCTAAAGTCATAGGCATAATTGGCAGAATTGACTTTTGTTCTGGTGTTTCTCTCTGTAGTCATTCTTCACTTTCTGATGCAATTTTAGCACATCTTAAATATTAAAATGTTTTGGAACAAACTTAGAGAAATTATGAAGCTAATTTAGGAAAAGAGCACAAGAATCTTTGATTTACAGGCAATTTGGGGATATAATTTAGCTATATTGAAGCTATGCAGCCAACATGTAGATGGTCATTATTATTACACCATAAATTTTGTGAGGTCAGGAACCTTGTAATTTTAAAAATATTCACTCTGTGCTTTGTTGAATAAACGGATAAAACGTATAGACATACATGAACTACTGATGAGTGGCTGTGTGTGATGTGTAGCTATGTTTATTATTTTTAAGATTCTTATTGTATTTGTTGAAGGCCAAGTTGAGGAGGGAATTGCTTAAGGGAAATGAAAAGGGGTTTAACCACAGTCCCCACCATTCAGGGGCATGCAATCTAGTAGGTTAGGGGACAGGACAGACACACCATGATAGGTGATCGAGACCTTTTAAGAGCAGTGTGATGAAATTGCTATGGGAACTGGGAGGAAACATTTTCTAGGACTGGGGAAACACTGAGTGTGCTAGAAAAACTTTGTGCTCCTGATCAGGGAACCTGGGTTCTATAACTGCTTCTACTACTGATTTGTCCTGTGACTTCGCGCACCAAATTTAGGCTTGTAAATTAAACTCCCAGATTTCTGTTTTCCATTTTGCAGCTCTAGGGGTTGAATGAACCATTAGGTTCCCTCGGACAAATGACCTCCGCTAATTTCCTATTTCGTTGTTTTCTCACCCCTACACCCCACCGTTCCGTGGGTCCCTCCTCTCCAGGAGGCCAGACGAGGAAATAAGCGAGGCCTCTTTAAAGGAGCTCTCAAAGAAAGGTACCCGGGGTATCCCGGGCTGTGGAGCAAGCGCGGGGCGCCGGGGACCCGGGTTTCCCACGCAGCCGGGGACGCCGTTGCGTCACGGCGCCTGCAGCCAATCAGGACGTAGCCTTCCGGGACGCATTACTAGGGCGACGGCCGGACGCCTCCGCGTTACGGGATGAATTAACGGCGGGTTCCGCACGGAGGTTGTGACCCCTACGGAGCCCCAGCTTGCCCACGCACCCCACTCGGCGTCGCGCGGCGTGCCCTGCTTGTCACAGGTGGGAGGCTGGAACTATCAGGTGGGGTTACGGCGCGAGGAAAATGGCGGCGGCCGGGGGATCTCAGAGGTGCAGGAAGGGGAGCTGCAGCCCGGGCTTTTCCTCCTGAGCCATGGACCTTCCCCGGGCCGCGACCTCGGGTAACGGCCACTGGCCTGGCATTTGGGGTCCCGGTGCAGGTGGCGGTAGCGTCGCTGGCTCAGGTGGAAGGAGGCGCGGGGAAGCGACTCCTGGAGGCTGGCTGAGGCGTCAGGTGCTGAGGGGCCGCGCGAGCGGCGAGGGCGAGGTAGCCGCGGGGCGAAGAGGGTCCCGTCGGTGTTTACGCTAGGAGCGTCAAAACCTTCCTCCTGCGACCTCAGCGGGTCTGGGAGCTGCACTGTCCCGGAACGCAACCTGAGGTCTGACCCTGTTAAATCCCATGCACTAAAACGTCTCAAGTGGTCACCACGTGCGGGGCTTCGACGAGAGCCGTGGAGAGCAGGGGCTGGGGTTGTCTTCCCTGCGAGTCCTGCAGGCGCCAAAGGCCTGCCTGTAGGTGCCAGAGTGGCAGTGCCGCGAAAAGAAAGGTAGGCCCTAGCCAGGGCGGATGCCAAACCTGATCTTTAAGGTGTATCGTAGCTTCTAATTGCCCATTTGAAGAAAAGAAGTTGAAAGATAAGGCACTTAGATGTGGTTGTGGAGATGTTTTGCTTTCTTGTACTTCCCTGGTTCAGGTGGCTTCCCTGGAAATACTGCATCTGCCTTTAAAGTTCATTAACTGTGTTTCTTGTGTACATGGCAGTAGATGAGATTAGGGATTGAAGTCACTTTAAGTCCAAGAAAAGTATTGAAGATATGTGTTGAAGGCATTACCAAGATGAAATATTTATTCATATCATTAACTTATTTGTTCAAAGAAACGTCATCTCATGAAGTATAACTACGTGGGTTAGTTTTCAAAAAACTGACTTGATGAAAGCCCTTTTTGTAAAACATATTTTTTGAGAGTAAGTAAAAATACATCATCACTTTTTCGTTTAGGTTTCTGTTGCACATTGTACTTTGATATGCTTGATATGACAGATAAGCATAATGTTAACTGACTTTTGTTTTTGGTAGTAGGCTTGATTTTATGGAGTAGTACCTTGTTCTGTAACTGAGAAAAACGTAATAGCGCTTGTGTTTCAGTCATCAATAGCTGCAATCTCTGGAGTGCCAACTATGTGTCAGTTTCTGTGAAAGCTAGGCTTCTCCTACTTTTTAATTTGAACACATGGTCGTCTGCATCTGCCCCCACCAGGTCTTTAGGCTGGCTGTTGCTGACAACCAGGAGGAAGCAATGGGGAAAACCCAAAAGATTCTTCCAAACTGGATCCATGGAGATTTGGTCAGTTTGTCCTGGGGTTGAGGTTATGGGTGGATTCTAGTCCAAACTCTGCCACTTAAAAATATCTTAGGGTAATCATACAACTTCACTATTGGTGTCTTATCTCTAAAGTGAGTATTTCTTATTCAAACAATCTCATTGCACTGTTGGGAGGAAAAAGAAAAGACAGTATGTGTGAAAGGGCTTTAAAAAGTTAAAAAAACAGTGAAAATATTTGAAATTTATTCCTCTGCATTCATGTACTCTGCCAGGCACTGAATCCGGGGACTTATATGTGCCAACTCAGTCATCTAGCATCACTGTGAGGCGGATACATTTATTATCTTTATTTTGCAGATGAGGAAACTGAAGCACATTGAAGTTTAAGTAATTTGTCCATATCACACAATTAGCATTGTGTTTCCAGCCTGTGTTCTTACTGTCTTACTACCACCATGCCTACTATCTTCCTATGACATACAGATGTGTTATGTATTAAGGGGAAACATTAATTCATGTACAAATTTTTCATTTTTAATATATATATTTTTCTTTTTCAAAGGCTCTAGCAATGTCCTAGAATGAACACATATTTCAAGCCAGTAGTTTTGTTTGTGATCTTGTGTAAATAATAATCATGGTTTATTCCATTGGCGTCCAATAGTGATTTGTGTGGTAACAATTACATTTACTTTGGTTAAGTGGTATATTCTTCTTACTTGTGTTGCCCATTAATTAAAAAGTTATTTTGAAACAGAGTTATGACTAATTTCTTTTTTTTTTTTTTTTGAGAGGGAGGTTCGCTCTTGTTGCCAGGGCTGGAGTGCAATGGCACGATCTCGGCTCACCACAGCCTCTGCCTCCCGGGTTCAAGCGATTCTCCTGCCTCAGCCTCCTGAGTAGCTGGGATTACAGACATGTGCCACTACGCCTGGCTAATTTTGTATTGTTAGTAGAGACGGGGTTTCTCTGTGTTGGTCAGGCTAGTCTTGAGCTCCCGACCTCAGGTGATCCGCCTGCCTCAGCCTCCCAAAGTGTTGGGATTACAGGTGTGAGCCACTGTGCCTGGCTAGTTATGACTAATTTCTATCAGGAAGCACAAATCAATAATTGGGATTTTTGTTTTTATTACATTTTTTAAAAGAATAATTTGCTGGGGGACTTTTAAAAGAAAACTGATTTTAGTTAAGCTTGTTGTTTTGATATACTTGTGCTAATTTTTCCAGTCTTTATTTATTAATAAAATAGGATGAGTAAAAGTGGCTAGGACATTTATTGTTTCATTGAACCTTTATGGAATAGCCCTGCCAAGTCTTTAGGATGTAAACATTAACTCCTGACCCTACCCTTGAGGAGTTCAGGGAGAAGTCCCAGGTCCAGAAGTTTGTAGACAGTTGAGACAAATAAATAAATGATTAACTAATAAAGCATGATAAGGACTCAAATATAATTGTGGGTACAGAGACCTGTGAGAGCACATAAAAGGGAACAGTTACTTCTTCTGGGATGGGCCTGGCCAGAAGAGGAAGGGAGCTAACTGGAGGATAAAGGCGTAGGGAGAAACAGAGCAAAGCTAGGACAAGTGAGAGCTCATGGTGTCCAGGGGTCAGACCACAGTATTACAGGTGTTGCTGGGAGAGAAGCCAGGAAAGGTTAGAGCCAGGTTGTGAACTCTTAGCTAAGAGAGTGGGAACTCTCCTGCGGGCAGTGGGAACTGTAGAAGGATCTCGATTAGATGCATAGCTTCCACTTTATGCTACAAAAATGCTAGGATAATGGGTGTTAGAATTTTTTTCTTTTTACTTTAGGTTTTGAATATATTTGTACAGAAATCATTGTAATATGGAAGTAATCACTGATGGTTTCTCTAGTTTTAAAGCTGATCTCCACTTAAACGTGTGTAACACTAAAGTTGTCCAGCACCTAACAACATAACATGAATGCAGTGCAAATCGACTACAAGGTAGGGTGTGCAAATCTTGCAAAAGATGCAGGATTTCATGAAGTCAAAGCAAGGGGGAGAACTGCTGAAACCATAAGCGCAAATAAAGGACTAGTGCCTGGAATAGGCAGAGATTCTTAAAAAGGACTCAGAAAGCAATGATCATGAAAATGATTGATAAATTTGTCTTCAGACTTCTTTAAAATTGGAAACTTCTCTTCATCTGAAGACACCACTAAGAAAATGAAGAGCAAAATATGGACCGGAAGAAGAAATTTGCAATTTATATATCTGACCAAGGACTCATACCGTGTGTGTGTGTTTATTTGTGTGTGTGTAGCATAAACAAAATTAATGAGAAAAATCATTTTAAAAATGCATAGATGTCTTGAACAGGCACTGTCTATTAGAGGGTCTCAGAATGGCCAGTATGCACATAAAAAGGTACTTAACATTATTTGCCAGTGGGAAATATAAATTAAAACAATAATGAGATACTGCTATACACCTTCCAGAATAACTAAAATTAAAAAGATGGACAGTGCCGGTGTTGACAAGGGTGTAGACCAACTGGATCTCTTACATATTGTTGG
Source organism: Homo sapiens (assembly GCF_000001405.40). NCBI lineage: Eukaryota > Metazoa > Chordata > Mammalia > Primates > Hominidae > Homo > Homo sapiens. Next base: position 30,451,264 of record NC_000002.12, read on the forward strand.
TGGGGGCCAGTGTTGGCAAGGGTGTAGACCAACTGGATCTCTTACATATTGTTGGTGGGGATGTCAAATGGTACAGTCACTTTGGAAGACTGTGGCTTTGTCTACTCCTACCCGTGATCAAATGCTTGCATTCCTAGGTATACTCAAGAGAAACTAATGCATGTTAAACTAAAAAACATGTTAAAGAATGTTTATAGTGCCTTTATTCATAATCAAAAATTGGATATAACTCAATTGTACATCAGCAGTAGAATGGATGAGTAAATTGTGATATGTTTATAAGATGAAACACTGCAGAACCTATTGTACATCAGCAGTAGAATGGATGAGTAAATCGTGATATATTTATAAGATGGAACACTGCAGAACCAGTTGTACATCAGCAGTAGAATGGATGAGTAAATTGTGATATATTTATAAGATGAAACACTGCAGAACCAGTTGTACATCAGCAGTAGAATGGATGAGTAAATTGTGATATATTTATAAGATGAAACACTGCAGAACCAGTTGTACATCAGCAGTAGAATGGATGAGTAAATTGTGATATATTTATAAGATGAAACACTGCAGAACCAGTTGTACATCAGCAGTAGAATGGATGAGTAAATTGTGATACATTTATAAGACGAAACACTGCAAAACCAGTAAAAGACAATGGATTATGGATATATGTATCAACATGGATGTATCTTACAGACATAAGTCAGACATAAGATTGTACACTGCATGATTCCATTTAAATGAAGTCACAAAGAAGTACAATACTTCCCTGGTGACAGAAGTCAGAATAGTGATTACTCTGGGTTGGTGGTGGTGGTAATGACTGGGAAAGGGCATGAGGGAACCTTCTGGCAACATTTTATATGTTGAGATGTGTGGTGGTTACATGGGTGTATGTATATGTAAAAATTCAGAATATGTAAAAATATGAGGATTGTGCACTTTATTGTATATATATACTTTAATAATAAAAAAGAGGCTCTAGTGAGAATATGGCAATGCAAGATCACTTAACTTTAAATGAGAAAAAACAGCAGGGATAATTATGAAAGAGGTACTTTAAAAGAATTTAAAAGGAGTGTGAGAGGCTCCAGGAGACAAATGATGAAAAGTATAATTTTTTTTTTTTTCGCTAAAATGACTTTTATATAATTGTTTTGCAAAAGGCAAATGTGAAATTAAGGCCGTCACATCATGCTGTTTTACAATTTGGTCACAAAATTATGCCCCAAGCACTCCACATATTCATTAGTTTTTGTCCTAAGAATTAATGCACAGTTGCAAAGTGTAATCTAAGTTTTGATCAATACAATACATGATATTTTATGAACATAATAGATTTTTTTGTTTTATTTTTTGGGAAAATTCTAAGCAGGTCTCTTTTTCATCATTATGAAATATGGTCTTTGTTAAAGAGAAATGGCTGTGTGGTCTTCTCCCTGTGAGGCACTAATTGCTATTGGCTAATGAGGACTGCTGTAATTCCTTTGGCTGCAGGATTTTTAATGCAACGAGCTAAGAAAAGCTTTCGGTGTGTTTCCTGTGGCTGTGAGGTAATGCCCCAAAAAAGTCTTACAAGTTTTATTCACACCTTTACCTTGTCCTCTGCTTGTGGCAGTAGGGCCATAGGGATCCTACTGTAAAAACTCGGGAGGCAAATGGAAGAGACATATGAGGGGTTGCCATCAGTGAAAGCTGACAACAGAGGATTAGCTGCCTTGTCTGCAGCTTTTCGCAGTTGAGTTCTGAAGACTTCAGTTGTTCACTTGCTCAGAGAAAATGGATTACTGTTCTAGGGACAAAGATAAAGGGAAGAGTTATGGTACCCTTAGTTTTTCCTCTCAAATAAGAGACCACATCTGTTTTATATAAGCGTATATAGTTCATTCCCTCGGGAGAACTCATGGAGCGGGGGATAGCATGTTGTTGAGCTGGTATCTACTGGTGGTATCACAAAGAAAGGAAATGCTGGATGAAGATAAAAATAAATGATGAAGAAAGAGGAATGAGTGGTGGCGGCGGTTCTTCCAGCTCTTCCAGCTCCATGTGACTGGGAGTGTGGACTGAGGGGATTGTTTTTAACTCTTGACAGGGACTCTTCCCCCACTGGAATGTTTAGGTATCTTGGGAAAGGCAGCCTTGGCTGTGGCTTTTACCATTTCTTCTTTCATAATATAAATACTGTCTTAGAATTATTTTTTTCTGTTTGTGTAGCCTTTAAATGAAAATTTACCTGTGTAGAGTTAGGGAGGAAACTGATTGAAAGTTGGGGTGGCTTGAACACCAAAACGTTTCTTGACTAAACTCGATCATTTTTGGATGTACACCATGAACTTGGTGATGGGGACAGAGTTAAATAAGATGTGGTTTCTGTCTTTGAGCTTACTGTGTAGAGGGGGAGATAAACACAAATCAGTGCCTTCACTACAGAGGTCATTGAGATTTCATCATCTGTAGGTTTTCTTTGATGAAAAGTAAACATGACGGCTATGAAACTATTATGAAGACCGTAGGTAGTAATGGTGACCCTCTCTTTTAATAACGTGTGAGTGCCAGGTGTATACTGAGTTCTGTTCTAAGTGCTTTAAGTTTTTAACTCCTTTAACCCTCCCAGCTTCCACTGTGAAGTAAATACAAATACTGTTATTATCCTCATTTTACTTATGAGGAAACAGAAGCCCAAAGAAGGTACGGGGCATGGATTTGAACCTACGCAGTCTAGTTTCAGAGTCTGTGCTCTTAATTACTATGCTATAATGCCTGTTTTAATGTACTGTAAATTTAAAATATACTGTACTTGTGTGGCATTAAGTGTAAGGGATTATTTCAATGAGTATGCCTTGTATTACAAGTTATGTCCAAAGTTTCTGAATATCCATGCTGAATGTAACTTACGGTAGCTACTTAGGGTGAGTCTGTCTATAATGTGGGAGATTTAAATGAGACATCCTTTTTGCCTTTTCCCCTTTCATGTGTTATAATGATTGTTTTGATAGTCTTGCATGTTCCATTATATCATTTCAAAATTCAGTAAAATATATTACCAGGTTTATTGTTTGTGTTATAATCATACACATAATGAAATTTTATGATGTAGTGCTCAACCTGGACAGTGTGAATTACTGGGTTAACATACTTCTTAATGAGAGTAACTGCAGATTTAAACTTAGGTTTTTTTATTTTTTATTTTTATTTTTTAATAGAGACAGGGTCTCACTCTGTTGCCCAGACTGGATTGCAGTAGCCTGATCACAGCTCACTGTAACCTTGAATGCATGGACTCAAGTGATCCTCCCATCTCAAGCTTCCCAGAGTAGCTGGTACTACAGGCATGTGCCACCGCGTCTGGCTAATTTTTTTTTTTTTTTGTAGAGATATTGTTGTGTTGCCTGGGCTGGTCCCGAACTCCTGAGCTCAAGTGATTCTCCCTCTTCGACCTCCCAAAGTGCTGTGATTACAGGCGTGAGCCACTGCACGTGGCCCTAGGTTGTTTACATTTTTAACATGGTGATTCATTAAGACCAATTGATTAAATTAAAGGAAGAATTATGTTTGCTTTGTTCACTAAGAATGGGAAGGCAGTGGAGAAGCAGGATGGAAATAATCTAGAGGACTCCAAGGAGTGCCAGAGTGACCTTATTTTGTTGAATTTATTTATGGTAGTAATGAAACCTATATAATTTAGCTTCTCTTTCCTTCAGAGAAGAATATACTAGAAGTCGGAGTTACTCAAGATTGAGTCTTCTTTTGCTAGGCTACTTGATAAACAGTTCTTGTCTGTTGAGTAGGCTAATCTTCAGGGAACTGAGTATACAGTGGATATAATTGGATCCAGTGGATATAATTGGATATAATTTCTAAAGCCGTATTTATTTCTCTTTTTATCTATACTTTCTTTAACTGTAAAAAAATTTAGGAGTGTTACGTTCTCATTTTGAATGAGGAACTCTGAAATTGTATCTGATTTTCTCTTTTGTATTTGTACTTCAGACTAGTCAAATATGTATGCCTTTTGCATACATATTTACTTGGAGATGGGGAGATATTTATACTAGCTTCCTCTGGCTGCCATAACAAACTACTGCAGACATCGTGACTTAAAATGACAGGCATTTATTTCTCAGCGTTCTGGAGGCCAGAATTCTGAAATCATTATCAGTCAGCCAAGATCACGGTGTCAGAGGGCCACACCACCTCTGGAAGATCTAGGGGAGAATCTGCTCCTTGCCTCTTCTAGCTTCTGGTGGCTGATGGCATTCCTTGTTTTATGGCTACATCATTAATCTCTCCCTCTATGGTCACGTTATGGCCTTCCTTCTCCACTTCTGTCTGCAGTTAGATCTTTGTCTTAGGCTGGGTGTGGTGGCTCACGCCTGTAATCCCAGGACTCTGGGAGCCTGAAACCATCCTCTGGGAGGATTGCTTCATCCCAGAAGTTGAAGACCAGCCTGGGAACACAGGGAGGCCCTGACTCTATAAAAAAAAATTAAAAAGTTAGCCAGATGTGGTGGCATGTGCCTATAGTCCTAGCTACTTGGGAGGCTGCGGCAGGAGGATCACTTGAGCCTGGGAGGTTGAGGCTGCAGTGAGCTGTGATCATGCCACTCAACTCCAGCCTGGGTGACGGAGTGAGACCCTATATCAAAAAAAAAAAAAAAAAAAAAAAAAAAATTGGAAGTGCTCCCTACGCTTCTGTTTTCTGGAAGAGATTGTGTGAATTGATCTTAATTCTTTAAACATTGGTAGAATTCTTTAATGAAATGTTCTGGGCCAGATTTCTTTTTCGAAGGCTTTATTCAATTTCTTTAACAGTTATTAGGGCTATTCACATAATCCATTTAATTTTGGGTGAGTTGTGGTAGTTTGTGCTTTTGAGGAACTGATCCATTGACACACAAAGTGGGTGTCCTCATTACTACTGGGCAAGTGTGGGAGTGTCAGCCCCTCTTTAGGACTCTACTGACACCACTGGGAGGGGATGGCCTTCTTACCCCTGGGCGGAGGTGAAAGTTCTGACTCTCTGCTAGGCCTCCTCTGATACCACGCCAGTGGGGATGAGAAGGAGTGTCTCATTACTGCCAGGTGGGAGGAGGAATCCAGGCTCTCCAGGTGGTCTCCACAGATACTCCCTGGCAGGGGAAGGGGGTCTTATTACCACCTGGCAGGGAAGTCTAGACTTCTCCAATATCACCCCTGAAAGGATAAGGGGTAGAGACACCTGGGAGCCTGAACAACATTGCAGCCTTGTAAGGGTGGAAACTTAGGCTCCCTACATGGCTTTTGCTGTTGTGGGTGGGGGTGGGCCACGGTTTTTTTCTGTGATATTGGCTGGAGGGCATGTTGTTTATTGCTCATTTCTTTGGCTTAGGAGAGCAGGGGTTTGTTTTTTGTTTTTTTGTTTTTGTTTTTAAGCTGGTTGTCTGTGGTATACGATGAGGCAAAAAGAAAACCCAGGGAACTCACCACCATATTTTCCATGGGTCCCAAGGTCCCTACCTGGTTTGCCTTATCTGTATCTTCAGAGTCCAGAGTCTTCCCATATTTGTTTACCTATAATGGCCAGGATTTTTGGTTGTACTTAGCTAGAGCAGTAGGAAAAACTACATTTACTTGATCTTGCTGGAAGCGAAAGTTGGACAGGGATTACTTCTTTATGGAAGAAAATACAGGGTGGAAATTGAGATGCATGAATTAGCCAGTAAGACACTGAAGGAAGCTAGTTTTGGGTTAGTTACTTGGAAGTGACAGCTTAACTATGTCTTTATTTCTCCAGAGAGAATTCTGTGGGTCATTGCTCAGTAAAACCAAACTCTCTTTAGTTTTAGATTTCTTAAGAGGTTTGACAGTATAGTGAATTACTTTATTTCTGCATTGAGATATAAATTAATAATATAATTTCTGGCTTAGTACCTGGTAGAGAAAAATTTATCTTTGTGAAAGATTAGTTTTATGGAGGGGATTAACTCCAGTTTTCTTTAGTGGTTGTCAGAGATCTTGGAGCTGTGGATCCTTATCTAAAAGAAAAAAAAGTGTAGCAGTTCAGATCTGTGTAAGGAAAATTTGTGAAAGTCTGAAACCTAACAAAAGGATTACTGAATAGCTTCAGTGGAACCCAGGTGCTGGCTAGAGCAATTTTCTTGGTTACTACTCTGTAGTCTGTAGCTTTCATTGTTTTTGATGTATTTTACAACCTTGTAAGTTGTGAATAACAATAATACAAATTATTCTTGCCCTTTTACATGCAAAGGATGTTTGTTGGAAGTACAATGGTTTTCTTTTTCTCTTTTGTGGAAGAAGCCAGTTTTTTATCTGTTAAGCAAATTCATTTCAGTATTTCCCATTGCCTAAGTATGTGTCTGCTCTTTGGATTCTCATTTGAACCAATTGGAACATCTTATTTGTTCCCTAATTAGAGTTATAGATAGAGGTGTTGATTTTATATTTGCATGAGAGACACAGTGCCACCTTTTTGTTTGTTTCTTTCAGTTATCCTTTAACAGATTGAACTCCAAATTTAGCCTGAGTTTGAATCCCATTTACTGTTGCGATTTGGGTCACGGAATTTTATTTTTTAACCTAAGCGTGTGTTACTTCCTATAAAAAGGAATTTATAGTATTATTTTCTTTGCATGGTTAGTGTGAGGATTAAAAGAGATGTTGTAAGTTACACACTTCTCATAGTACCTCGTATAACATAAGAATTCTTTTTAAAAAACTCTTTATTAGAAGACTGTGGGCAACTAATTTTGCCTTCCTGAGACTTCATTTCATATTGTTAAAAAAAAAAAAAGAGGCAACTTTTCACTTGGTTGTTAGGTTGTAAGTTTCACTGGCAATAATTGGAAAGAATAGAGTGTAGTAGCTGACAATAGTTGCTTTTGGAGAGGTAGACATTTCTAATATGCAGTGACCTTGCTGCTCTGAGAAAGGGAAATGTAGAAGTTTGATATGGTGAGCAGTTAGTTAGAATAGCATCCTGGTAATTCAATTCAGTAAACAGTGGTTGAGAAGACCCTGCTCTGTCTGGCTTTGTACTAGGAAGAAGCATTAGGGCTGGAAGTGTGCTATGATCTTTTTGCTTTAAAACAATTTGGAGGGTGGATCTTGATAGACAGAAGGCTTTAGTGCTGCCAAGGACCTTGGTAGATTTGGGCATGCTCCTCAGGGAGTAGGAACTGGGAAGGGTTGGATTTTGCCTAATCTAGGAATAGCTGTTGGGAGTTTCAAGAGCAATTTTTGGATGAGTAGGGAGGTAGGGTGATTGAGGAAGAGGGAGGAACTGGAATGATGTCTCAAGGATGTTATTTAAATTGACTTTTCCTTCTGACCCTCAGTATTTATTGTTTTACTTAAGTGTTTTATTGGGAGTGGAGAGTGATGGTGGGTGGAAGTGGAATATACCTGGTGAACTGGTTGAGTCTGAAGAAAGGATACTCAGAAACTGAGAATTTAAATCTCCCAAAATCAGTACTGGTCCAAGGGAAAACCTTGGTCTACTGTGAATAGTGTAGTTGGATTGGGTTGGTGGGTCCTTCAAGACAGGGGCATTCCCAGCTACTATGCCATTAGGATAATGAAAGTAAGCCTCAGTGCAAAGTCTACTGTGTGAATGTAAGAAGCTTACCTATATACCTATAAATGTAGGTATGTATATACTTATATTTATAACTGAGTAACATTCATTCTGATATAAGGAAATTACTATAAACAAAAGCAAGAGTTTCTCTACTGCAAACGTATTTTAAAGTTTTATGCAAAATAAAATGGTTTTTGTAATTTGGCAGTAGAATCAGGATCCAGGAAATGAGCAGCATGTGGTCATGCTTGCTTTCCTTCTTTAGGAAGGTCTTTGGGTTCCTCTAGCCATCTTTGAAACTTGAATACCCTATGTGTTACAAAGTGTGGGGGAAAGGAGCTGCCCCTTACCTGTTTTTTCTTGGGTTGGGATCTAGGCTGTGATTTTGCCCTTGCTGTTCACATTCTGGCTCAGGGAGAAGCAGAAGCTCCAAGGACCTGGCCAGTGTTAACATTTCAGCTGCCCTCTCTCTCTGGAACTTTGTAGAGGTGGCATGCATATTGGGCTCTCACCTCAGTCTTTTGGCATTCCCTTCCTAAGCACTATGACCCAGCTTCCTGAGTTGCCCTGTGCATTAATCCATTCAGTACTCAGATGTTTCAGGTCCCTGGGCCCGTAATCTGTTTACTCCATGAACCATCTGATGAGCCCGGTGCACTGTTCCCAAACTCTGCTTTCTCTTTTTTTCTCCCATTTGTCCTGTTCACAGGCTGAAAAACAGAGTGGGTACTCTCTTCTGGGAAGCTGGCAACAAATGGATGATGTGATATATGCATTCCAGGGGAAGGGAAATTGTGGTGCTTCTGAACCCATGGTCAATTAACGAGGCAGTTTCTAGCTACTGCACGTACTTCATAAAGCAGGACTCTAAAAGCTTTGGGTAAGTCTTTGTAATGATTTAGATGCTTGAGGTTTTTGTCTTGCTTCATATATCTGAACACAAAGCTTTTTGAATTGATCATAGTTTGTTCCTGTTTATGTTGTATTGTTGACATGTTCTATGCTTGTTCTATAACCTTTTCATTGAAAAATAAGCATTCATTTCTATTGGAGGGAGATAAATGTCCTTTTTTAGAAAATAAAATAACACATTTCTGTGAAAGAACAAACCCAGCATTTCTGTTTGGCATTTGGTTGTGTGATTCTTTTTGGATCTTTATTTTAAAGATTAGGTACCATTTTGTTTAGAGTCGAAAATATTAAATTTTTTGGAGGTTATCCCTTACACTTTCTGCTGCATGCAGTAACTTGCTTTTGTTTGACATAGGAGCTTATGTGATACCATTAGCTAGTATCCTCCTTTTGAAACAGTGAGGGTTTGGGGAGTCCAGCGGGGGTTCATCTGTGTGAATAACTGACAACTGATTCTGGCCATGTCCTCTCTCATCTCTAGGCTCATGATCTCCATCTGCCCAGTGTTCATCTGCAATCTCTGGCTGCCACCTCAGTCTCAATTTGATTAAAACTAAATTCATTCTCAATCCCATATTCAGTTACCTGCCAGGTTATGTCTGTCTCTGTTTATTTAATTGTCCAGGCTTGAACCTTCTTAGATAATTTCGACACCCTCCCCCTCAGCCTTTTTCTATTGCTGCTGCTTTTGTAATGCTTTTGATGTTTTTTCTCCTGATCTTTATGCTTGCGTTACTTCAGTAGTCTACTAGTCGGTTTCTGAAATAATAGTCTCCATTTCTTGTGTATGTGATATGATGAAGAATCTATTATATCTGGCTTTTGTCTTCGGTTCCTGACAATGAGCTTCAAAAAATCTTGGGATTTCCTTATAGATGTATCTTTTGTTATTCATAACAAGAGTCTCTTTTGACCACACCTGAGTTTATCCTAATAAGGTGACTCTGGGTGGGCCCTTAGATAGTTCAGGAAAGGAGCTGTCCACATCAGAGAGACCTTGGAACTTTTAGCCCCATCCCCTGGTCTCTGGGGAGGGGGCAGTGACTAGATAGCAGAGCCCAGTCATCTGGCTAGTGATTTAATCACTGATGCCTAGGTCATGAAGCCCCATATAAAAACCCTGGAATAGCAGTGAACATACTGGTTTGCTAGGAAGATGACACCTGGATTTCTTCAGGGGAGAGCAGGGAAGCTTTGCATCCCTCTGCCCTCTTTCCTAGACCTTGCCCTTGCTCTGTGCACCTCTTCCATTGGGCTGTTCCTGAGTTGTAGCCTTTATAATGAAACTGTGATTGTATAGTGCTTTCACTGATTTCTGTGAGAATCGTTGAAACTGAAGGGAGGTTTTGGGAATCTCTGAATTTGTAGCCAAGTTGGACATTAGTGTGGATAGCATGGGGATAACTGAAGTGAGGGCAGTCTTGTTGGAAACCTTGCTCTTTAACTTGTGGGATCTGATACGAACTCCAGGTAGTGTCAGAATTGAGTTGAATTGTAGGACACCTAGTTGGTGTCAGAGAATTGGTCTCAGAGTGCAGTGTGCTTACCCTTTGACAGGCATTGTGGTATGTGCGCTGCATGCATTATTTCATGTAATGCCCACCATGGTAAGACCTAGATTTTTTTTTATTTGTTTCTAGTTAGTTTTTGGTGTTTTTGTTGTTGTTGGTGTTTTGTTTGTTTGTTTTTTGAAACGGGGTCTCACTATGTTGCCTCCACTTGTCTTGAACTCCTAGGCTGAAGCGGTCCTCCTGCCTCAGCCTCCTGAGTGGCTGAGACTACAGGTGTGTGCCACCAGGCCTGGCCCAGGTCTGATTTTATCATCTTTGTTTTACTGGTAAGGAAAGCCATAACTTGCCCATTGTCACAGAGCAAGGAAGTGTTGGAGAAGTCAGTGCTTTCTGACTTTAAAGCCCTTTACTTAACCCTTTGGGTTGGGCCAACTATCTTCCTTGCTGTAGACATTATTACCCTCCTCTAATCTGGCTGCTGTGGACCACTTTTTCTAAATTAAACTTTTTTTTTTTTTTTTTTGAGACGGAGTCTCGCTCTGTCGCCCAGGCTGGAGTGCAGTGGCGCGATCTCGGCTCACTGCAAGCTCCGCCTCCCGGGTTCACGCCATTCTCCTGCCTCAGCCTCCCGCGTAGCTGGGACTACAGGCGCCCGCCACCACGCCCGGCTAATTTTTTTGTGTTTTTTAGTAGAGACGGGGTTTCACTGTGTTAGCCAGGATGGTCTCGATCTCCTGACCTCGTGATCCGCCCGCCTCGGCCTCCCAAAGTGCTGGGATTACAGGCGTGAGCCACCGCGCCCGGCCTAAATTAAACTTTTATCACATCATTTTTGAACTCAGAACTTTCAGTTACTCTCCATTACTGTAGGATAAAACCCATTATTTGCAGGCAGCCATTCAAGGCCCACTGGAGTCCAATAGGCTCAAATTAATGCTGTCCCAGTCTTTATATACAACAAAAGAAAACAAGCACCTATTGTGTTTCTTGGATGGGGCACTCAGTTTGTATCTCCAGTAAGTTGCACTGGAGATGAAAGTGTATAATTGGAAAGTTAGAGTATATGAAAAGAATGTCCGTATAAAAATAACACATGCTGACCAAGTCAGTAGTACAGGTGATAAGATGCTTCTAGAGTTCAAAAGGGGCACAGCTTCACTAAGCAGGTGTATCTTGAGCTTAGCATTGAAGAGATGGTAGGATTTTGAGAATTGTGACTGAGGGGAGGACCCTTCTGCTCAGGAAGACCATGAGTGAACTGGAAAGGCAGTGCTGATGACAATGAATACTTAAGTTTATCTGGGGGAAACTTCTGAAACCAGGGTCTATTCCTTGTCCCCAGACAAGTTGAAAGTTGCAGCATAGTCTTTTAACTGACAGAGCTTGTGCTAAAGCTTTGTCCTTTGAAGCTAGAGTTGTTTAGAATGAACCAAAATCTATTTCGGGGCTAGCCTGCGTGATAAGGTTGGGTGATTATGTTATAAGAATTACCTTTTTTTGTGTTACGTGAGCTGATCAAAGGAAATTTTAAACTATAAAAGTTCAAAAATTTTTTGGTAGTAGAACATGAGAATAAACATATTCAAAGTAACCAGTCTGAATAGGGAGCATTCTTTAGCATAGATAAGTTTTGGTAAATAGATAGTTTTAAAAAGTCTTCTTTGTACATGAACTCACATCATTATACCCAATCTCTTGGTATTTTTTAGGGTTAGAATCTCTCCTGACCAGCTACTTGGGAGTGCCAGCTACTTGGGAGGCTGAGGCAGGAGGATTGCTTTAGTTGCTCAGGAGTTCAACACCAGTTTGGGCAACATAGCAAGATCCTCTCTCTTAATAAAAAAAGTCAACTTGAATGCTATATAAGTAATATTTATACATTTATATATTTATAAAAAATATATGAAGAACAGATCAGAATTACATTACTCAGAGATAGTTGATAACCATGTTTATTTTTATTATGCTACTTTTATTTATGTCATTACCTATACAATTTTGTAACCTACTTTTTTCACTTTATATTATTAGGATTTTCCCATGTCATAAGATTTTTTGAAAACATGGTTTCTATTAATATATAAACGTTATCATACATAGAGATTTCTTTTTTTGTTTTCTCCTTTAATTAAAAACAGAGTCATTCATTATTTTGTAAGTTGCTTTCTTCACTTCACGGGTCATGTCTACCTTTCTGAATGACTGCTTATGTTAATGTATAGTCAGCCCCTCTGTATCCACAGGTTTTGCATTCATAGATTCAACCAACCATGGATCAAAAATATTTGAAAAAGAATTGCCTCTGCACTGAACATGTACAGACTTTTTTCTTGTCATTGTTCCCTAAACAATATAACTATTTATATAGCATTTACATTGTATTAGATACTATGAGTAATTTAGAGATAAAGTATTTTGGAGGATGTGAGCAGGCTATATGCAAATATGATGTCATTTTATATAAGGAACTTGTGCATATGTTGATTTTGATGTCCTCAAGAGGCCCTGGAACAGATCCCCCATGGATATTAGATGACTGTGCTTCACTTTTTAAAAACTGGTTGCATAATATTCCAGTTATATGGCTATGCCATAATTTAACCATTTCTCTGTTGATGGACGTTTATACTATTTCTAATTTTCACATACAAATAGTGCCTCCGTGAGCATTTTTATCTTTTCTTACTTTTATGAGTACTTTTGTAGGATAGATTAGAATGAAATTATTGTGTAAAAATGTATATGTGTTTTATAATTTGCCAGCCATGCTGAATTTGCCTTTTAAAAGGGCTCTATCAGTTGATTCTCTTAGCAATTGTATGTTTGAGGCCTTATTTTCCTATGCCCTCACTTTGCTGGATACTATCATTGTCAAATATGAAAAAGTAATTGGAAACATGGTGTCATGCTACATATTAGTCTGATTTCTTTCCCTTTTTTTTTAGTGTTCATTTTTGTATGTGACTCTTGATTCTTGGCCCATTTTCCTATTGTAATTCTATAATGTTTTCATATTTTACATGTAACTCTTTAATTCATCTGGAATTTATTTTGATTTTATGGAATGAAACTGCTTGATTCTGGAGGAGATTCAAGGGCTAGTGGGTCTTGAAATTGTGTGTCTGGAAAAATTTAGAGGATAAAAATAAATTTTGCTGCCTTTGGAAAGTAGTTTGTCTCAAATTTATTTAAAAACTTAGTTTATTATTACCCAACTCTATAAAGTATGTTGGGGCAATAAGAAAATCTTGCCAACAAAAAGACCCCTTCTTACCAATGTAGAAGAGAAAGAACGCTCTGTTTTTATTTGCATGTCAGATACGTGCAGATAGGTAGTTTGAGACTACAAAATTTGAGCAGAATTTAACTCATACAGTGAAACAGACAAAACTTCTCTTGTATTCTTGGGGCAAATGGATATACCCTGTGATAGTTTCCTGTGCACCTGATGAAATTCCCGAGTTAATTTCAGTGGTGTTTGTTTGCAGTGTCTAGGGTCAGAAGGCCTATGACCTTGTCATTGTAAATCTGGAGACTAGGATAGTATCTAATTCCTGACGAAAAGGCTTGGCCTATTAGGGTTTTTTTGTTTTTGTTCTTTTTAAATTTTTATTTACTTTTTGTTTTATTTTTTACATAGAGATGGAATTTTGCCATGTTTCCCAGGCTGGTTTCAAACTCCTGAGCTCAAGCAGTCTGCCCACAAAGAGCTGGGATTACAGGCATGAGCCACCATGCCTGGCCAGGCCTGTTAGGTTTTTAAAGAGATCCTCTGTGGTAGGCTGAAAATGGTTCTCTAAAATATTCAAGTCCTAATCCTGGAACCTGTGAAATGTTACCTTGTATGTTAAAAAAAATGGTTTTTGTAATTAAATTGAGGATCTTGATGTCTAGGGCACTTATCCTGGATTATGTGAGTGGTCCCTAAAAGCAATCCTGTGTATGTTTATCAAAGTGAGGCAGAGGGAGATTATACGTACACAGAGGAGGAGGAGGCAGTTGGACCAGGAGGTAGAGATTTGAGTGTTAACGGCCACAAGTCAAGGCATTCCCACAGCCATCAACAGCTGGAATAAGCAAGGAACAGATTCTCACCTGGAGCCTTTGGAGGGAGTGTGACCTTGCTTTTGTTCTAATGATACTGCTTTCAGACTTTTTTTGGCCTCTAGGAGTGGAAGAGAATAACTTTCTGTTTTAAGCCACCAAGTAACTTGTTACAGCAGCGATAGGAAACTACTGTACACCCTAAAGACAAAAGGGCTGTGCCCCTTTTATTAAAACAAGAAAGATTCATTCATTATATTTACTATGTTAATTATTGTGAATAGCACTTAATTCTTATCTACTCTTTGCTAATCACCGTTATTTATTGGTTCTCAGTGTTGAATAACAGGCTAAACACTCTACCAAAATGACATTAAAATGAAAAGTTAACCTCAATAGTAAAGTTAATAAGGAAATATTTTGACTTTTTTTAAGCCTGGAAAGTGAGTAATTTAGAATCATTTATATTATTTTGAGATTTGCTTTTGAATTGAGGACAATAAAGTGTATTTATTTCTCTTATTAGTGAAGTGGCATGAAAGAACAAAAGTCTTCTTTAACAGAAAGAATTTCAAGTCCATTGCATTTTGTTAAAACTTTCCCCAAATTTTATTTTTTTCAACCAAGTGGTAGATTATATAACTAATGTTACAATTAATTTTTTTCTGATTTTTTTTACTGACATATAATTTCTTATATTTTTGATAAAGTAACTCCTTAGAGTTGTCTAGATGAGTTGTATTTTTTCAGTTTGCTGACAAACTATTTTTCTTGCTTTATTAAAAATGATTAAATTTCCTAATTCTGCTTTTACCTATTTGATAATTCTTTATTTTATTAGAATTGTTAGGACTTTGTAAATTTTTTCATAAAGAACCAAGCTCATTTTAAAGTTCCGCTGTTTTTTCTGTGTTTTCTTTTTTTCTTTTCTTTTCTTTTCTTTCTTTCCTGCTTTCTTTTTTTTTTCTTTGAGACAGGGTCTCACTGCCACCTAGGCTGGGCTGGAGCTCCTAGACTCAAGTGATCCTCCCACCTTGGCTTCCCAAAGTGCTGGGATTGTAAGCATGAGTCAATGTGCCTGACCCTTTCTGTGTGTTGTTATCTAATCAATCATTTTTACTGTCATCCATATTTCTATTTTTGTTTTTTAATCACACCTTTTATTTTAAAAATTTGACTGCTTGATTTTAAAATTTGCATTGCTTAGTTTATGTTCTGTTTATTTAAATACTATTTTAGAAACTATTTCAGTACAGCTTTGTATGAATCCTGTAACTTTTGATATGCGATGTCTTTATATTTTTTCTAAATATTCTGTTGCACTGGTTCTAAACTTTGGTGAATATCAGTCTCAGCTGGCAGGCTTATTAAAAATGCAGATATTCCAATTCTACTTAACACTGGGTATAGGGCCTGAGCTTCTGCATTTTTAACAAGCTCCCCACCCCCTGGTAATCTGGATTAACATCAGCATATGGGAACTACAAGTCTTATATATTTTTAATTTTTTCATTAATTCAACAGTTATTTAGGAAGGCTTAAGAATTTCAAATCTTTAGGGTTGTTTGTTTTGAATTACTCTTAGTTTTATTGTATTATAATCAGAAGCTTGCCCTGCAAAATTTATTTTTTATTTTTTTTAAATTATACTTTAAGTTCTAGGGTGCATGTGCACAACGTGCAGGTTTGTTACATATGTATACATGTGCCATGTTGGTGTGCTGCACTCGTTAACTCGTCATTTACATTAGGTATATCTCCTAATGCTATCCCTCCCCTCTCCCCCGACCCCACGACAGGCCCCGATGTGTGATGTTCCCCTTCCCGTGTCCAAGTGTTCTCATTGTTCAATTCCCACCTATGAGTGAGAATACGTGGTATTTGGTTTTTTGTCCTTGCAATAGTTTGCTGAGAATGATGGTTTCCAGCTTCATCCATGTCCCTACAAAGGACATGAACTCATCCTTTTTTATGGCTGCATAGTATTCCATGGTGTATATGTGCCACATTTTCTTAATCCAGTTTATCATTGATGGACATTTGGGTTGGTTCCAAGTCTTTGCTATTGTGAATAGTGCCACAATAAACATGTGTGCATGTGTCTTTATAGCAGCATGATTTATAATCCTTTGGGTATATACCCAGTAATGGGATGGCTGGGTCAAATGGTATTTCTAGCTGTAGATCCTTGAGGAATCGCCACACTGTCTTCCACAATGGTTGAACTAGTTTACAGTCCCACCAGCAGTGTAAAAGTGTTCCTATTTCTCCACATCCTCTCCAGCACCTGTTGTTTCTTGACTTTTTAATGATCGCCATTCTAACAGGTGTGAGATGGTATCTCATTGTGGTTTTGATTTGCATTTCCCTGATGGCCAGTGATGATGAGCATTTTTTCATGTGTCTGTTGGCTGCATAAATGTCTTCTTTTGAGAAGTGTCTGTTCATATCCTTCGCCCACTTTTTGATGGGGTTGTTTGATTTTTTTCTTGTAAATTTGTTTGAGTTCTTTGTAGATTCTGGGTATTAGCCCTTTGTCAGATGAGTAGATGGCAAAAATTGTCTCCCATTCTGTAAGTTGCCTGTTCACTCTGATGGTACTTTCTTTTGCTGTGCAGAAGCTCTTTAGTTTAATTAGATCCCATTTGTCAGTTTTGGCTTTTGTTGCCATTGCTTTTGGTGTTTTAGACATGAAGTCCTTGCCCATGCCTATGTCCTGAATGGTATTGCCTAGGTTTTCTTCTAGGGTTTTTATGGTTTTAGGTCTAACATTTAAGTCTTTAATCCGTCTTGAATTAATTTTTGTATAAGGTGTAAGGAAGAGATCCAGTTTCAGCTTTCTACATATGGCTAGCCAGTTTTGCCAGCACTAGCACCATTTATTAAATAGGGAATCCTTTCCCCATTTCTTGTTTTTGTTAGGTTTGTCAAAGATCAGATGGTTGTAGATGTGTGGTATTATTTCTGAGGGCTCTGTTCTGTTCCATTGGTCTCTCTCTCTGTTTTGGTACCAGTACCATGCTGTTTTGGTTACTGTAGCCTTGTAGTATAGTTGGAAGTCAGGTAGTGTGATGCCTCCAGCTTTGTTCTTTTGGCTTAGGATTGACTTGGCAATTGCCCTGCAAAATTAATTGAAATTTCCATTGTGGTCATTTGTAAATGACCTCCACTGTGGATAGTTGGGAAAAAAAATAGCCATTTGATATATATCTGTTTTTTTTTTAATTGAGGTGAAATTTACTGTACAAGAAATTAAGCATTTTAAAGTGGACAAATCAGTGGCATTGAGTACATTCATGTGTTGTGCCACCACCACTGCTGTCTAGTTTCAAAACATTTTTATCACCTCAAAGGAAACTGTGTACCATTAAGCAGTTGCTCCCTTCTACCCAGCCTCTGGCAACCACCAGTCTGCTTTCATTTCTATGGATTTGCCTATTCTGAATATTTCATATAAATGAAATTATGCAATACGTGACCTTTTGTGTCTTCTTCACTTAGTATAATGTTTTCAAGGTTTATTTAACTCTTTGAGAAACTGCTATTTTACATTCCCACCAGCAATATATGAGGGTTGCAAATTTTCTGCATCCTTACCAATGCTTGTTATTTTCCATTTTTAAAATTGTGCCCATGCTAGTGGGTATATAGTGATATCTCATTGTGGTTTTGATTTGCATTTCCCCAATGATGTATGATGTTGAGTAGCTTTTCTTATGCTTATCAACCATTTGTATGTTTTCTTTGGAGAAATATCTATTCAAGTCCTTTACTCATTTAAAAAAGTTATTTGTCTTTTTGTTGTTGAGTTGTAAGAGTTCTTTATGTATTCTGGATACTAGACCCTTGACTTGTGAATTTTTCTTCCATTCTGTGGGTTGTCTTTTCATTTTCTTGATGGTGGTCTTTCACGTGCAAAAGTGTTTCATCTGGATGCAGTCCAGTTGATTTTTTTTTTCTTTTGTTGCTCATGTTTCTGGTGTCACATGTAACAATCCCTTGCCAAATCCAAGGTTGTGAAGATTTACCTTTGTTTTCGTATAAGAATTTTATAGTTTTATCTTTTGTGTTTAGGTTTTTGATAGATTTTGAATGAGTTTGAGGACACCTTCCTTCTTTTGCATGTAGCTATCCAGTAGTATCATTTGTTACAGATATTGTTCTCTCTCCATTGAATGGTCTTTGCACCCTCGTTGAAAATCAGTTGGCCATAGATGTATGGTCATAATTCTGGACTCTCAATTAATTGGGCTACAGGTCTCTTCTTTTTTTTTTTTTTTTTTTTTTGAGACGGAGTCTAGCTCTGTCACCCAGGGTGGAGTGCAGTGGTGTGATCTGGACTCACTACAACCTCCGCCTCTGGGGTTCAAGCGATTCTTCTGCCTCAGTCTGCTGAGTAGCTGGGACTACAGGTGCCCACCACCACACCTGGCTGGGACTACAGGCATGTGCCACCTGTGCCCAGCTAATTTTTTGTATTTTTAGTAGAGAGCCAGGATGGTCTCGATCTCCTGACCTCATGATCCACCTGCTTCGGCCTCCCAAAGTGCTGAGATTACATGCATGAGCCACTGCACCTGGCCCTAATTTTTGTATTTTTTAGTAGAGATGGCGTTTCGCTGTGTTGGCCAAGCTAGTCTCAAACTTCTGGCCTCAAGTGATCCACCCGCCTCAGCCTCCCAAAGTGCTGGGATTACAGGCATGAGTCACCACGCCCAGCAAGAATCTGCATCTGATTGGTTGGGTCAGGAATGAAATCACACGAGTGTCAAAATGGTCTTGTGTGTCGAGTCAGTTTCGGGTGGGGGTTACAGGGCCAGTTGAGTCAATTTCATGGTATGAGTAACCCAGGTGGCATCAGTTGGTCCACCAGAACACGAGGTCTGAAAAATACCTCAAGAATCAGCCTTGGGTTTTACAATAATGAGGTAATCTATTGGGGTAATCGGGGAAGTTACAAGTCTTATGACCACTGGCTAGTGACTCCTGTCTAGTAAGTAATTACAAAAAAGACAAGTTAGAAAATAGTGTCTTGTTATTATTTAACTATGCTTAAGTCTTAGCAGAATTCAGGCTCCTACTGTAATTCTGACCTTGTGTCCTTTTGTTATTTTTTACAAAGATGGTTTTGGTCTCTAAACAAGGAGGGGGTTAGTTTTGGGAAAGGACTATTATCATATTTGCTTTAAAGTTAAAATACAAACTAAATTCCTCCCATAGTTGGCTTGGCCTATGTGCAGGAATGAGCAGAGACAGCTTATGAGGTTAGAAGCAAGATGGAGTCAGCTACGTTAGGGTTTTCTCACTGTTATAATTTTGCAAAGGCAGTTTCAGTACCACATTGTTTTGATTACTGTAGCCTCTTAGTAAGTTTTGAAATTAGGAAGTGTGAGTCCTCCAACTTTGTTCTTTTTCAGTGTTGTTTTGGCTGCTTGGAACCACTTGGAATTCCATTCATATTTGGTGATTGGCTTTTCCATTTCTGCAAAAGTTATTGGAATTTTGATAGAGATTGAATTGAGTCTGTAGATTGCTTTGAGTAGTATTGCCATGTTAATAGTATTGTCTTTTATTTATTTATTTTCATTTTATTTATTTATTCATTCTTTTTTTTTTTTTTTTGAGACAGAGTTTTGCTCTGTTGCCCAGGCTGGAGTGCAGTGGTGCGATCTTGGCTCACTGCAACCTCTGCCTCCCGGATTCAAGCAATTCTCTGCCTCAGCCTCCCGAGTAGCTGGGATTACAGGCGCCCACCACCACGCCTGGCTAATTTTTTGTATTTTTAGTAGGGACGGAGTTTCACCATTTTGGCCATGCTGATCTTGAACTCCTGACCTCGTGATCCACCTGCCTTGGCCTCCCAAAGTGCTGGGATTACTGGCATGAGCCACTGCACCCGGCCTATTTATTTATTTTCTAAGATAGAGTCTCACAATGTTGCCCAGGCTGGAGTGCAGTGGTGTGATCTCAGCTCACTGCAACCTCCGCCTCCCGGGTTCAAGCGATTCTTCTGCCTCAGCCTCCTGAGTAGCTGGAACTACAGGTGTGTGCCACCACACCTGACTAGTTTTTGTATTTTTAGTAGAGACAGGGTTTCGCCATGTTGCCCAGGCTGGTCTTGAACTCCTGACCTCAAGTGATCCACCCGCCTCAGCCTCCCAAAGTGCTGGGATCACAGGCGTGAGCCACTGTGCCTGGCCAGTATTGTCTTTTAATCCCTAAACCTGGTATATCCTTCCATATATTAGATTTTCCTTAATTTGTTAATGTTTTGTGGTTTTCAAAGTGTCTTTTACCTCCTTGGTTAAATTTATTCCTAGGTTTATTCTTTTGATGTTATTGTAAATGGAATTACTAATTTTCCTTTCGGTTTGTTTATTACTGGTGCGTAGAAACATAGTTGGTTTTTGTGTGTTGATCTCGTACCCTTCAACTTTGCTGAATTTATTAGCTCTAGTAGTATTTTTGTGGGTTCCTAAGGATTTTCTATACATAGGATCATGTCATGTGCAGATTCTTCCTTCTGATTTGGATGAATTTTATTTATTTTTCTTGCCTAATTGTTCTCACTAGAAATTCTAGTACAATGTTGAATAACAGTGGTGAAAGCAATCATCCTTGTCTTATTCTTGATTTTAGGGGGAAAGCTTGTAGTCACTTTATCCCTGAGCATGAAATATGAACATCATTGTCATGAACCATTGCTGTGGGTTTTTCATAGTGCCCTTTTCTTTTAAATCTTTAACATTCTTCTGAGTGGAGTTAACTGGAAAACTTTAAAGAAGCTAATTTAAAATTTTTGCTAGTTTATGGGACATAGTCTCAAAATTGAGAACAGAAGAAACATCCACATGGTTGTAATTTTTGTCCTTAGGGCTTACATGGGCAAGAATATACAGAAAGCATTTATGGAAAAGGAGTTAAAAGGAGACAAGACTTTCAGAACTCACTGAATAGAAGATTCCACTTGTTTATTTGGTTTTACTCTCTAAACTGTTGGAGTTGATAATTAAGCCCCTTCTAAGGCTTTACTTTTTGTCACTGGCTTGTAAAACTGGAAAATTTGCCCAGATTAAGCCTTTTAATGTTTTATTTTGTGTTAATTTCTTTCTTGATTTGAGATAAATGTTTATAAACATCAACCAGTTTTTGTTTATGAGGCCTACACTGGAGGAAAGGACTGTAATTACTAATGTTGCATCAGAAGTTGCTCAGACAAATGGAAACTTTTTCTTTTCTTATAAAAGTGGAAGTGCCCCTAGTGTCAGAATGCACATTATTCTTGCATTTGGTAAAGTGTTCTGTTGTGTTTTTGTAGTCATTTTAATGACATTCAGATAGGTTTTATGCAAAATGTTTATGGTAGGCCAGATCTTAAAAACATTTTTTTGCAGGGAGTCAGGAGGTGATTACCTTTCCAGGTAATTTCAGGAATTTTCAGTTTTCCTAAATATTTTTAGGAAGAAACCCAGGTTCTATTAGAATATTTTGTCTCCACAAGTCTTGCCAGTCCCTCCTACCTGCCCCCCACAATACCTTGTAATGGAACATTTTGTGCCATGTCTAGCTAATGCATTAGATGAAACTTTTAAGTCACAGTGATGAGGAAGAAAAAAGATTGGCTGTGGATAGTGTGTTGCAACTATTTTTGCATTAAATCATAATTATGCCTTTCTGTCTTCTCTGGAGTTGAAAAAAAAATGATTTGTTGTCTCTGAATATAGTTGATATTTGTGTACCATATATCCATGGCCTCACCAGTCAGGAGAGAGATTTCCATCTTGGAAAATAGTTTGTCTGGAGTGAATGTTTCTGATTAATTCATTATGTGTATAGGAAAATTATATATGTATGACAGTTACATATGTTAGACAGTTATATGTGTCTAACTGTATTACATATATAACTACCATATGACAGTTGCATATGCTATTATGAAGACATATATATGTATGTGTGTATACATATATATAAAGTTCTGAACAAGGAGGGCGGGTTGTATGCTTCTTATAGTAAAAGGAATCTGAATCTATTACGATCTTTCTTTTAAGTTAGTGTCCTTGGGATAAGGAGAGCAGGTAGACGGAAGAGAACCTGGTAAGCTTAAAAGCCACCTGATTCTCCTGATTTGGGTCACCCGCATCTGGAACATCCTCTTTAATTTGGTTATCAACATGTTTTTTCATCCCTTTATTTATTCTATAATTCCTTATAATCGTGATAATTTATGAACCTAAACAAAGACTTTTTGTGTTGATTTCTTCAGTGACATAAAAATTAACCTACTTCTGTGGATGGATAGATGAACATGGATGCGTTCTATGGAGCAGAGTCTACCAAAATTATTTTTTTAAATCATCTGAAACAAATTGTGCTATTGGATTGACCATTTTCCTCAGTTGTTTTAACTGTTTACAGGGAATGAAGATGAGTGGGCAACAGGTTGTGGTTGCTAGAGTTCATGTCTTCACCATTATCTGCAGTCTGAATATTGGCTCTAAAGGTTCTGAAACCTGGTTTCCTAGTTTTATGCAGTGCTAATTTATACCAGTGAAATTTATAAGGGATTGATTTTCAAAACCCAAAGGCTTGTTTATTAGTTTACATGGGCAGTGGACCTTTCCAGTCCAATTCACTGTTTGGATTGTTTTTGTGTTGGTATCTGAGTATCAAACAACATCTTACCAATAATAAGAAAACTGTGTAATGTGTTAAAGATAATATAATGACTTATGCAGCTATGAAAATACATGTGTTAAAGAAAAACTCATAATCAGGGAAGAAGGCAAATGTTATACCTGTTTCAATGGAAAAGTAAAATAACCCACAAATTTATATGGAGTAAAGAAATGTTGAAATGGACCCAAGTGGAGACAAACTGGTTTGTTGGGGAGAGGGAGCTGGGGAGAAGCTCAGGAGGACAACTGAACCTGCTCCCTGACAGGATAGAATTTACATGTCCCTCAGTTAACCCATAGTCTATACAGTGTTGTAAAATAGCTCCCATCAAACAGAATCTGATAAAGTGTAGAGGTGTGCTATAAATCATGCCTAGTTTTCCATCAGATTTTTCTCTACATGTTACTGTGACTTGCAGTGAGTGGGGGTTAAAAGATGTTTTTTAAATTTAAGAGACAGGGACTTGCTATGTTGCCCAAGCTGGGCTTGAACTCCTTGATCCTCTTGCCTTAGCCTTCTGAGTAGCTGGGAATACAGGCGTGTGCCACAGATATTTGAGTACAGTTCTGGATCCTCTTTGAGCCTGATGAGCTTTTAAAATTGTGCTATTACCTGGTTAATGAATGAACAGTTTTAATGATTTGGTTTTAAATAATTTAACTTTTTTTTTTTTTTTTCTAAATAGGGCCTCACTCTATCACCCAGGCTGGAGTGCAGTGGCACAATCCCAGCTCACAGTAGCCTTGACCTCCTGGGCTCAAGTGATCCTCCTGGCACAGCCTCCTGTGTAGTTGGGATCACAGGTGTGCACCACCACACATGGCTAATTTTTAAAAAATTTTTTGTAGAGATGAGGTCTCATTTTGTTGCCTAGGCTGGTCTGGAACTCCTAGGCTCAAGCAATTCTCCCACCTTGGTCTCTCAAAGTGCTGGGATTACAGGCATGAGCCACCACACCTGGCCTTAAATTTGTTAGTTATACACAGATCCAGGTTCAGATTTACCTTGCTAGTCTTATTCTGTGTGTGTGAGACAGGGTCTAACTGTTGCCCAGGCTGGAGTACAGTGGCACAATCATAGCTCATTGTATCCTTGAACTCCTGGGCTCAAGTGATTATTCTGCCTCAGCCTTCCAAGCAGCTGGGATTACAAGCATGTGCCACCACCACTGGTTAATAAATTTTTTTTTTTGTAGAGGCAGAGTCTCACTGTGTTGCCCAGGCTGGTCTAGAACTCCTGGGCTCAAGTGATACTTCTGTCTCAGACTCCCACAGTTCTGGGATTACAAAATTGAGTCATGGTCCCTTACTAGTCTTATGGAAACTTATAATTTTCTTTTTGGCACTGGGTCTTTTTTGGATAGCTGGTGGTGACTTGGAGGCTGGCTGCAAGGGGCAGTATTAAATGTAATCTGGTATTATATGCTTTTTTTAAATAAACATGTAACCGTTAAAATTGCATACAATTATTGGAGGCTATATAATGGGGTTGGAAAGAGTCCCAGCTCTATGATAATCTGGATTACTGACCTATACAACAACATTTGCAGTTATTATGATTTTTGACCTAATTTGTCAGAATCTTCATTTTAATTCATTCTGAACATTTTAATGCATGTTTAAATAGAATAATTTTTAAATTGGCATGCCTGTTTTATACAACTCAGCCCAGTATTTTTCTTTTAGCCAGAATAAATGTTGAATGATTCCTTCCTTTTAGTGATTCTTTCTGATACAGTTTCTCCTAATATGTGATGCCCTCTAGTGAATTCAGCCTTTCAGAAATATTTTGAGAAGCAAGATTTTGAGAAGATTTCAGTATAATGAAATCTCAAGGAACATTCTAATAATTAGAACTATTCCTTTATGCTTTGTTGAGATGCAGGTTTCTCTCTCTATAAGTGTTCAAGTGAAGATTTGATAATCCACTATGAGTCTTATTTTTGAATAGAGTGAAACTTTTCCAGATGACTTCTAAAGTCTTCTTCAGCTTCATGGTTCTAGCTTCCATATAAACCAGTAGTCGTCAGCCAATAAATATTGAACATTCACTGGACCTTAAGCACTGTCCTGGGGCATTGTGAAGGTTCCAAAGGTAGTATAGGTCATAGATGTGATTTCAAGTAACTAATGCATCAAGAGGATGAAATAAAGTAGCTAACCTTTATTGAAGATTTACTCTGTTCCTGGAGCTGCTGAAGACAGTTTACTTTGTCATTTAATCCTCACAATAGTCTTTAAGTAGCTACCACTTTTAGTCCAATTTATTTGTGTAGATATTGGGACCCAGAGAGGTTAAATAATTTGCCCAGGGTCACACAGTAAGTGTTGGAACCAGGACCAGTTTATGTAAAATAATAGTGGGTAGGAGGTGAATGGCAGGACAGCAATCAAAGTTTCATCTGTCTTTACAGCCACTCCACATCACTTGAATTATCTCCTGATTTCCACCTCTGCTCAGATCCGCCACTGCATTCGATTCTTACAGGAACGCAGGCCCTATAACTGTGCTTGCAGGGGATCTAGGTTGCATGTTCCTTAGGAGAATCTAATGCCTGATGATCTGTCACTGTCTCCTATCATCCCCAGATAGGACCATCTAGTCTCAGGAAAACAAGCTCAGAACGCTCGCCGATTCTACCATTATGGTGAGTTGTATAATTATTTCATTATATATTACAGTGTAGTAGTAATAGTGGAAATAAAGTACGCAATAAATGTAATGTGCTTGAATCCTGAAACCACCCCTTCCCCTGCCCCTGCCATCCATGGAAAAATCGTCTTCTATGAAACCAGTTCCTGGTGCCAAAAAGGCTGGGGACTGCTGGCTTACAGGCTGTCAGCTCTCTGAGGGTGTATTTAGTTGTCTGTATTAAGCTAGCTCAAATTACTTTTGGATACCTCTTTACACTGTCATACTTAAGTGTGTGATTCTCTTATTAGCTTCAGTCACAGAAGTGATAGTTAATAATTTGTACATAAGTTTTGCAGTTCATTTTAATTTTTGGCCCATAAGGTATTTTACTTACTCTAAAGACTTACTTGATAGAATGACACAATCTTACCTTCTTTTTTCTTTAAAGCATCCATTCTTTGATGTTTAGTGAATCAACGCTTGTTCCTGTGCCTAAGAATCCTTTGAGGGCATTTATGACTTGTAGGTTTCTTTTGATTTTCAGAGACATTTACCACCCTCTTTATTGGATTTTAAGGCTAGGATAGCTGTTGTCCTTTTTGTTTTTATCACCTAGACTAAATAGAAATCGATTTCTCCATTTGTAGGTAAATTAATTTCATCAAATTAGAGCTAGCCTTTTGATGCCTTGGATTGTACCTGTTTGTGGTGTATTCAGGTTAGTGCTTGTTGTTTGGAGAAAATATGGAATACATCTTCGGTCTAATTACTGGAAAGATAATGTGAGCCTTAAAGAAGAAAGGAATATTATATTGTGATATATAAGGTAGGTCATTCTCATTTCTGGATACTTGTTTGGTGTCCATTTATGAAATGGTTTGTTTGCTCCAAAGTATCTGTATATAGCCTCTAACTGGTATACAACTAAGTCACAGATTGTGACCCTAATGGCCTGAGCACCCCTTAGGCTTCATCTCTCCCTGATTTCACTTCTGCGCATACCTAAAGACTTGATGTTATCAACATATCACTTTATCTTTCCATTTAGGCTATCCCTGAGTAATGAGAAGGAATGTGAGAAGAAATTAAATTGGAGGCTTTCCTAGTGAAAGGAGAGACACTCAGAGGTGGCCAGCCTAGGATTTTAAGAAGTCTAGAAAGATTGAGCAGGGCTCCCGAGAAGAATATTTTAATGAAAGTAGGAGGTTAGAAAAATCCTACCTGACTCTGTGCCCGTTTTGGTAAAAACAGAACAACTTTTTAAGACTTCTTGAAATTTTACGATTTTCCTTCTGTTTTTCTAATTTCTCTCTCTCCCCCCTGAAAGTTTTTCTAGCAGTGAAAAATCTCAAAGATTTACTTAAGGGATAGGAATTAAGGAATTTTGTGGTCTGAATTCTGTGGCCCAGGATTTGGGAACGTAAAGTCAAAAGTGTTAGTGAGGGATTAAAAAAAAAAAAAAAAAAAGGCATAAGCCAGTTACAGAAGCATTTGGAACTGGGCCTCCCACAGTTTATGAGTTAACACGAGATTGGGGTGTTAGGAGATAGTTTTATAAATCATTATTTGAAGTTAAGCATTTATTCATAATGGTTAAAGACTGTGTTGTTATTAGTGCTATTTTCAGGTACATTTTTGTGAAGTTGGCTTTTGTAGGCTGACGTGAAAACCTGATCACTTTTTATAACATAATTTTTGTGGGAAAATGCATTCTGAATTCCAAACAGCTGATTTAAATGCAGAGTTTTAGCATGCTACCTGCTCATAAGTTGGGACTGTTTTCTCTGTTCATATTCTGGTAGAATTCCCAATTTGGTACATTTCTAATCTGGGAAACAAAATTTTATTTGACTGTAGATGAGGTAAATCTCTATAGAATAGTTATATGTGTAAAAATAAGTTACTTCTTAGCTGAGTGTAGTGGTGTGTGCCTATAGTCCTAGTACTTAGGAGGCTGAGACGGGAGGATCACTTGAGCCCAGGAGCAGTAAGCCATGATTGTGCCACTGCACTCCAGTCTGGATGACAGAATGAGAACCTGTCAATAAATAAATAAATAGATAGATAGGTAGGTAGGTAGGTAGGTAGGTAGATACATAAATTTAAAAAACCAAACATAGACACACATAAACAAATGAAGTAACTTTCATAACCAGAAACTACAGTAATCTTTGGCATAGTATTTGTAACTTAAGACTTGGTTTTGTATTGTCCAAGATTTTTTAAGATCTTTAGGTTAAGATTCAGATGGACTTGCTGACTTGTGTTACATTGTAAAAGGGGAATCAAGCCTCCTGGGATATACTTGGGTTGCCCAATTGCTGTGTTTCTTTAAGTATTTTTTTCCCTTTTTAGGGCCTTTGTTTCTTCATCTACAAAATAAGAATGTTCATAATGGCATTATTCATATAGCTCAAACTTGAAAAATACACAGATGTCAGACAGAATAGATGAATACATTTTGGGATATTTATACAGTGAAATACCGTACAGCAATGAGCAAGAAGAAACAATTGTGGCACTTACTTATTTGGGTGAATCTCACAGACATGTTGAATAAAAGCAGCCAGATGCAGTAGAGTATATACTTGTTTTTTGTTTTTTATTTTCTTTGGTTTTTTTTTTGGGACAGGGTCTCATTCAGTCATCCAGGCTGGACTACAGTGGTGTGATCATAGCTCTCTGCAGCTTCCAACTTTGGGGTTCAAGTGATCCTCCTGCCTCAGCCTCCCAAGTAGTTGGGACCACAGGCTCATGTCGCCATCCCCATCTGTGGAGGATTGCTCAAGCTATCCTCCCATTTTTGTAGAGGTGGGATCTCAGCATGTTACCCAGGCTGGTCTAGAACTCCTGGACTCAAGCAGTCCCTCTGCCTCAGCCTCGCAAAGTGCTGAGATTATAGGTGTGAGCCACCATGCCTGGCTGTGTATATGTTTGTTAATTCCATTTAGATAAAAGACAGGTAAGACTACTGATGGTCATAGAATTCAGAATTGTGGTTACCAGTGGAGTAGTTAATTATTGGGAAGGGACATGCATGAAGGAGGCTTCTGGGTTGCAGGCAATACTCTGTCTCGATCTGGATACTAACTTTGTAAAAAATTTATTAAGTCATATACTTAGGATTTGTGTATTTTACTGAACACTACAGTTTTAAGAAGGCTGAAAGTATGTACCAAAACGAAACACAAAAAAGAAAAAAGTAAAAGAAACAAAAGATTGACTGGATTGGGAGCCAGGAAAACTGAGTTCGGACCTCAGCTCCACCACTGAACATCTGTGATTTTAGGTAACTCATTGACCTCTTTGCCTTAGTGATTGTATCTCTAAAATGGAAATAATCCCTGCCTTCTGTATTTCAATCAGGTTAAACACTTTCATCCTTTTATACTGTATCTCATTACATCATAGAGATAAACCTTTGAAAACACATTGGAGGCTATTTAAAATATTGTGGATGTAAAATGACATTATTTTCCTGTTAATACTTTTATATTTGTTGTATTAGTATTCTGTTTAATAAAAAGGACCCCATATAAAAGTAGCAAAAGGGCCAAAGACTGATCAGCTGAACGACATTTGTTACACTTACTTTTTTTCTTTTTTCCAGACAGGGGCTTGCTCTTTTGTCCAGGGTGGAGTGCAGTGGCTCGATCTTGGATAGCTCAAGCTGTCCTCCCACCTCAGCCTCCTGAGTAGCTGGGACTACAGGTGTACACCACCATGCTCGGCTAATTTTTATATTTTTTCTTTGTAGAAATGGGGTTTTGCCATGTTACCCAGGCTGGTCTCCAACTTCTGAGTTCAAGTAATCTACCTGCCTTGGCTTCCCAAAGTGCTGGGATTACAGGTTTGAGCCACTGCGCCTGGCCTATACTAGCTTTTGAATTCCTGGAAAAAATATAAAATGACAGTATCAATTTATCTGACTTTTTCTCTTTTTTATATTAAGCCCTCCATCAAGTAGAAATTGAGCTCTTTCATGCAGGGTATGATGCTTCATGCTTGTAATTCCACCTCTTTGGGAGGCCTAGGCGAGGGGATCAATTGAGGCCTGGAGTTCAAGGCTGCAGTGAGGTGTGATCCCATCATTGCAGTTTTAGCCTGGGCAATAGAGTGAGACTGTTTCTGGGGTTGGGGAAAATTCGAGCTCTTTCAAAGTGTGCTGGGGTTTTTTGCTGAGGATATAATAGTGCACAATATCAATATGGTCCTTACAACTACAGAACTATAGAACTAAGATTCTAGAGGGAATGACAGGTGGAAAACCAGGAAACAGACAAATGAATAAACAACTGCTGGCTGTAATGAGAGCCATAAACGAAGCACTCAGGACTGAGACAAAATCACTATTGAGGGGAACTTGCTTTAAGTAGTGGTCAGCCTTAGAGCTTGTTTAAGGAGTTGACATTAAGCTGACACCTAAAACCTAAAGGAAGAAACAGAGGTAGTGAAACAAAGTCTGAGAAGGTAGCCTGGACAGTTTGCACTAAGCCTTGAGGTGGGATGTGGCCTGTTGGGGAACCTGGCAGAAGAGGTTAGTTAGCACAGAGGTAGAAGGGGAGTGGTAATTCGATTTTTACTCTAGGCTCAATGGAAAGCCGTTAAAGGCTTTTAAACTGGGAAATTATGTAACTGGATTTACATTGTAAGATTACACGCAAGTGTTAGGTAAGTAGATGAACCTGTGGGTCGGTCTGCAGCTAAGATAATGTGTTGGAGATATTTTGGTAATATCAGCATAAAGATAGCACAAAGGAAGAGGGAGGAGGAAAAGGATAGAGAGAAGACAACTGATGGCTGAGTGATAGGAAGCCTCAGCATTTAGAGGTCTGGTAGAGGAGGGGGAGCCAACCAAGCCAACTAGGAGAGAAGGATCACCGATGTCAGAAGAAAACCTGGAGAGTGTTGTCACAAAAGCCAAGAGAGGCTAGCATTTCAAGGAGGAAGTGGCCATGCGTGTGGAATGCTGCCAAGAGGGTAGAGTAAAATGAGGACAGAGAAGTAGCTATTGGATGTGGCTACATGAAAGTGGACTTTTTTGCCAAAGTGGTTTCAGTGGAATGGTAGAGGCAGAAAGCTGACTGAAGAGGGAAGTTGATTGAGGAGGGAATGGGAAGTGAGGAAGCAGAGACCGTGTATGTAGTTAATGATTCATTTCTCTGGGCAATCAGTTTAGATGTATACTTTGCTACCCCAGAGTATTCGAGGAGTCTTAAAAACCCATTCAGTAAGCCTAGGGGTTTGCATTATCCATAAATGGCTGTAGGAACTTAGTATTGGCCTTTGACTTCCAATAATTTTTCTTTGATTAGCATTTAATTGTTAATTTGAGAGATTCTGAATTTTGTAGGAGGCTTCCATGTATAGTAAAGCTGAGTATTCAATCTGTTAACTTCTAGAGAACTAGTATTATAAATAAATTGAAACTTGGATTATTTACCTTTTCAGGGAAGTAATTATAAGCCTTGAAAGTTATGCAAAAACTATTTCATCTTAAAACACTTAGAAATTCATTTTGGTTTTTGTGATTACAGTGTTCAGTAAGACAGACATCTAAATAGGGATTGCATTTGGCAGTTATGTACATGTTCTTGTTCTAAACTAAGCACTGTTTCTGTGGTTTACATTTTTCCTTTATAAATAGAATTTTAATCAGTGTAGGTTAGATTTTTTTTCCAGGCATGTTATAATTAGCACTGGCTACAACTTAATCCTAAAATGTGTATAATAAATCTAATAATATTTTATAAGCACTCCTGCCATTAAATGAAAGCAGATAGGAATTATTTGAATATTTTAAAAAATCTCTAGTATATATCTTTCCAAAACTGTGTGGAAAGAATGTATGGCTATTTAAAAGAAAAAAGTTAATACGTAACTTCCTTGGTCTTGTCACTGAGAATGATGTTACTTATATTTTGGAGCCACATGGTCTTATATGCCGTGACAGCTCATTCATATATTCTTTTGAATATGCTGTGTAGTAATGTAGTTACTGGAAGATAAAGCATTGCTGTAGGATCTACTTTCCAAATGTGATATGTCTGCCAATTTAGGCCCAGTGCTTTAGGAGGCTGAGGCAGGAGTATCGCTTGAGGCTAGTAGTTCGATTAAGAGCAGCCTGGTCAACATTGTGAAACCCTGTCCCTATTAAAAAAAAAAAAAGCAAAACCCAAACAAACCTAAGGACAAGCAGTTTGGATTACAGGAAATTGTTTAGTAGTATGGTTAAGAAGCACCCTCTCTGGAGTAAGATACACTTGGGGTCCAGTCTCAGCTTTTTAGAATCTTAGATCATCAAAAGCAAGGAAAGTCGGAGAAACTGTCATGGCCAAGAGGAGCCAAGGGAGACATGATGGCTAAATGTAATGTGGTATTCTAATGGAACCCTGGTGCAGAAGAACATGAGATAAAAACTAAGCAAATTTAAATAAATTTGGACTTTAGTTAATACAAATGTAATATTGCTTCATTAGTTGTGACAAATGTATCTACTAACATAAGACATTAATATTAGGGGAAACTGAGCATAGAGTGTATGGAAATTCTGTCCTATCATCACAATTTTAAAACTACTCTAGGCCAAGCACAGTGGCTCACACCTCTAATCCCAGCACTTCAGGAGGCTGAGGTTGGGGGGATCACTTGAGCCCAGGAGTTCGAGACCAGCTTAGGCAACATAGGGATACCCTGTCTCTATAAAAATAAAATAAATAAAATTAAAACTACTCCAAAGTAAAAAAGTTTATTAAGAAAAAGAATGTATTTTTATAACCATCTTTAGAAAATACAACCTGCCACGCTTAGTAACTCTGATTATATGATTCAACCTTAGTAGATCTCACTGTCTTTATCTTTAAAGTGAGGATATAATGTGTCTACCTCCATAGGGTTGTTCTGAGGATTTAATGAAGCACTGCAAGCAAAAGGGCCTGGCAAAGTGTCTGGCATAGTGAATGCTCAACAAATGCTACTAGTGATGATGAAAACTCATCTTTAATTTTTTTTTAATGTCTGCATAAGCAAACCCACATTCATACATTTTGGTTGAGCTATAAGAGATCTGGCATTGCAAACCAGACCCAGTTTAGGGCCTAGACCTACCATATCCATTTCCAGTTGTCTTAACTTGTATTTAAAACTAAAACTCCTACTGGATTTTAAAGGCAATTCTACTTTATTCTCAAGCCTTAAATTTTATGGGCAGCATAGTGAATGGGAACGAGTACTGAACAGGAATTAGGAGACCTGACTTTTAGGCCCCAGTTTGCCACTAAATAGTTCAGTGATTTGGGGCATTTTTTTTTACCTTTTAGAAACTTCATTTTCTTGTTAGTAAAATGAGAATGTTGAACTGGATCCTATTTATTTGTGAAATTGAGTTATATTGATATCTAAGTGAGAAATGTGCTTCAGAGCAGTCACCTTAGAGGTTTTGTCTTCCCAGGTGGCCTCCCAGGAAAATTAGTCTATTACCCATGTTTACATCTGATTTTGGACCAAATATAGATGGCCCTGCTTGCTGATCCATCATATTCTCTGTATTAGGCCCCATGAGACTCTTTAATTGCTTCAAAAACTCAAATTCGCTTTCAAAGTTTGGAGATTTGTTACCATTCATTGAGGATAATTAATAGAATGTGCTAAAGGTTCTGCAGGGATTTCCCATAAAGGAGTTCTAAAAATATTATAAGTATTGACAGCATTATGGGAATAAGTATTGTGGCCTTCCCAAATCAGTCATTTTGAAAGCCACAGGGCTCTTTTGGAAATAATTCTGGTATTATTATTATTTTTTAGTGTATTAACTCGTTGTACCATGTGATTCTAGTTTTGAGACTTTTAAATTTTGGGGGTTTTCTCAGTTTCATTATAACTTCCTGGCTTTGCGTTTAACCAATGTTATTTTATTGTAATTTTAAGATAATAGCACTAGAAAAGTACTGTGGGCAAGAGCTATGTTGTGCAGAATAAAATCTCTAATGCAGATCTAGTTTCTGTTTCTTTGTCCAGAGCTTAGAGGAAAGCTTGGCCACACATTCTATAAATGTTAGCCATCAAATTTTAATATGACTAGAACTATTATGATCAGTGTTTAACTGTATGTACATTTGAGAGTGTAACATTCAGTAACATTTGACAGTTTTAAAAAAGTGATTTCATTTTAAAATAAGTTGAACTATTTATCAAATATTTCATTTTCCATATGTGTTTTAAATTGAATTTCAGTGACCTAAAATTCTGTTTGTAGAAATAACTTTGCACATCTTTTACTATGGTATGATATGTTATGGTATGCTATGGTATGGTATGGTATGGTATGGTATATGTGTGTTAAATTTTTTAAAAACAGTAACTCACTTAAGCAGAAGGTTTATTAAACCCTGACTAATTAAATTATCCAAACATTAACAGACTGCTATATGGTACTAATACTGGTTTTTGTAATATTGTTAAGTCACTTAGTGTGATCTTTCACCAGTGAATAATTGCATATTTTCCATGGAAAGCATTGTGATAAGAGATATATACTACTATTAGAAACCATTAACTTTAGGAATTATCAGCAGATGTTTTCCATGCATGGTTGGCTTCATTTGGTTTGGTCCCCGCTTAGCTGAATAGTTTTAAGCTGACTAGAAAGATATATAGCTAACGTTTACATGACGTATTTGGAACTTAATGAAGCACTACACTAGGCTTCCAGTTAATGGAATTTGTACCGTTTTAATTTTTTGGACAGCTTTTTT
The DNA here is from genome assembly GCF_000001405.40 of Homo sapiens. NCBI lineage: Eukaryota > Metazoa > Chordata > Mammalia > Primates > Hominidae > Homo > Homo sapiens. The sequence continues at coordinate 30,485,376 of NC_000002.12, forward strand.
CTCTATTTTTAAGGCAGTATCGTGCAATGTCATCTTTTTCAATACTTGCCATTAGTGGTGTGTAAGGAAGAAAGGTTGAACAAGTGATTTTTTTTATAGAACTATGATTTTATTAGAGGTTAGGAATTAACTTTGTCTTAAATTCACGTTTCCATTGTCATAAATAGTTGCTCTTAAGTGTTCTTTTTGTTTAAGATTTAAATTTAACACTTTTATTCCAAATAAAATTTATTTTTATCTCATAGTTGAATGATGACATTTGAATTTCTCTAGCAAAAAGAGCACTTTACTTTCTTCATTGCTGTATTTAATGGTAACTAAACATTTTCCTCTGTAACCTATAGTAAATAGGAAAATAGTAGATTATGCCATTTTTAGGTGAAAAGGAGTTCCTTTAGGAATGGAACTTTGAATTAATGCTATAGGAACATTTGGATTAATGCTATAGCAGATTGTTTTTTAGCATGCTAATTTACTGCTTTCTTAAACTCCCTTTTGGGCTTCGTATTTGTCATATATGTTATATGTTTATAGAATAGTTTGAAATTGGGCTCAGAAGAGTCAGATGCCTTTCTACTTCAGCATATATTTTGAGTATAGTTTATATATGTGGTCTGGTAAGCCTTTCTGCTCACTCCCTGATAACTCTTGTTTTGTATATTTAAACCCTTATGGCTTTTAGGACTAAATATTTTCTAATTTCCAAAGCAATACAGGCTTGTTAGAAAATATTAAACCACTAAAAATACATGATAAACTGGAAAGTGACAGTAAGTCCTCATTGCCTATGGGATAAAGACTGACTTTGTTATAGTCAGGAAAGAGCATTATCTTAGAAAGAACTTTGGACAGCCTTAACTGACCTGTTAAAAAAATTTAACATAAAAATTAAAGCATTAAATTTTTATATTATGTTATCACATTATGTGTAAGTTACAGAAGTTGAATTATAACATTTAGCATTATTAACAAGATATGTACTTGTATTTATTCTCATTTCATTGTAGAATGGTGGAAAATTTGACATATATTGGGGATTGGTTTTAAGTTTAGCGTTTGAGAACCACTGACCTAACCACCCTTACTCTTCTCTTGCTGCTCCCCAGAATACAGCCAGACTTGTCCTCTCACTCTTCCAGTGTACTGTTACTTAGCTTTGATTTGCTTGTTTTTGTTCACATGGTTCCCTCCTTCCCAGTTATGTGCCACCCATCGTTCATTTCAAATCCTCTAGTGGCAGAGACTACCAAATTCCTACCAGAATTTGTTCTTTTCATCCTGAACCTGGAGCTAGCTAGCTCTTGTGACTGAGTTCTAGCCAATGGAATGTGAGTGGAAAATGATGTGTAGTGTTCCTCCACATTCTTACCTTTCTTGCTGGTTGGATGTGTACCATGATGTGAAACCAGGGAAATGCAGAGCCACAGTGCAAGCAGCCTAGGTCCCTGAATGACTATGTAAGAGAATTGCCCCACCAATGTGAGCCTTCCTCCTCCACCCTATGAGTATTACATATGCAAGAAGCAAATTACTGTGTTAAGCCATTATGTGTTTGGTGCTATTGGTTACTTCAGTTCCACCTACTATAATAACACTACTTTCTCTAGGTAGTTCCTGACTATGCTAGTTCACCTAGATTATCATTTTTTCTCCTAAAATTCTATGATATTTACTAGGTATTGTTAACTCACATTTTTAAGAAACAAAAACAAAGGCAGAAAAAAAGATGGTATGCATTTAATTTGTACATGTCTTGCTCACATAGATGGTAGACCTTTGGAAGAAAGTGACTTTGCCTTATAATTCTTTTGTATTTCCCATGGTACCCAGCTAAGGCACTCAGTAAAGACTTGAAAGAATGCAAAGTTGGGAACCAATCTTTAAAGCATAGATACTGGAGTCTGCAATGGTGGCAAGTTTAGTTAACTTCATTTATTTTAGTTTTCTCTGGTTGGACGTCCTTCATTATAAAGGAGAAAAATGGTATAGAAAATCCGTAATTTAATAAATTGAAACAAACATAAAATAGTGACATTTGTAGTAGGGCAGCCATTTCCTTCTTTCCTCTCTCTCCCTTTTTCCCTTCTATAAACATTAAACTTTTACAGTGTGTCATGTTCTGGGCCCTGGGGGGTACAGCAGTTAATAAAACAAACTAAAATCTGCCTTTCAGAGTTAACAGAAAATAAGTAAAACATTTGAAATACTAAATACAACCAGTCCTGAGAAAAATAAAGTAGAGGCTTAAGGGTGGGTGGGCAGCAATGTGAGTGGTGCTTGAAGTGTGTTAAATGGGGATGAGATGTGTTAGGTGGAGTTGAAGTGTGTTACATGATGCTGGTGTTGTAATTTAAGTTGTACAGTCAGCAGAGTCCTGTCTGAGAGAGTGACTCTTGGGCTAAGTGCTGAACCAGGAGTTGAAGTGTGTTACCTGATGCTGGTGTTATAATTTAAGTTGTACAGTCAGCACAGTCCTGTCTGAGAGAGTGACTCTTGGGCCAAGTGCTGAGCCCAGGTGAACCAGGTAAGGAGAGCAGACCACAAGCACTCCTCAACCCAAGTGAGAGTGATGCAGTGTTCTAAAATTGTGGTGATTACTGCATTCCTCTGAATATACCAAAAACCATGGAGTTGTACACTTTTAAATGTGTGGATTTTATGGTATGTGAATTATATCTTAATAAAGCTGTTAAAAAGAAAAACCATCAAAGCTTTAGAGGTCTTCAGCATCAACCCAGGGAAAAACCCTGTTTTCCTTACTGCTCTTTTTAGAATGTTTGGCTTTGTAGTAGTTGTAGTTACTACAGTAAATCACATGAATTTTTTTCCAGTTAGGTCTAGAGACTGTGAATCACAGCAATCAGGAATATTAGTAAATTTGTATCAGATTACTTTGGCTGTAAGTTTCTAAAATTTCCAACACTAAAATTTGGTCATGTGTGTGCAATCTTCATAGCTTGCTGCTAAAGTAACAGTAGATTATTATCCATTTATAACTTGGAGAAAAAAGGTAATGTTGGCTTCATGCTCAGTAATGACTGATTTGAGATTGAGATTGTGCTGACTTTGCAGCCACATCCCTCACCAACATGGCAATTGCCTGATGGCACTGACCTTGGAACTGTCTTTACTTTCTCTTTTCTTTTAATGGTTTATATTCAAAACAGCTTGGTTGTCCCTAGCTCTTGCTTTTTCAGATTAGATATTGACTCTTAGATATTGTCTCTTAGATATTCTCTTTCGTTTTTTCCTCTGGAAATAAGTTTTAGCACTCAATAACTCCCACATTCCAGATTCCTACCACCTAGGCTGCATTGATTTAGACCCCTTTCCCTAGACACTGAGAATTGTAGAGCTAGAGAGGGTCTTGGAGTGCAGAGTTGTGTAACAAGTCAGTGCAAAGCTCGTATTAGGTTCTCAGCAATCCTGAATTCTGTCCTCAATGTCTGTTTCCAATATCATTACTATATTTCCATAAGGAATTAACAAATGATGCTCACCGAAGGCAGTTACCTTGCCCATAAGGACATTCTTCAGATTCTGTTACAATGTTAAAATTATGGACTCTAAATTTGTGTAATCTTAAACCATCAAATCATTTCCTCTCAATCTGTAATCACTTTTTGGCCCAGGATCAGTTTTCCATTGTACTGATAGGTTCATATGACCTCATCCTGGTTTAGAGTTGAGAATATGCGACTTAGACTATAGATCTAGCCCTAGATCTGCTACAGTGTGACCCTGGCAAGTATCTTAATCTTATTACAGACATTTCATATTTCAGATGTAGTTCTGATAGCAGCATTCCCCTCTCCACCATTGTACCATACAAGTGAGTGGGCTTGGAGAATACAGTTCTCAAGATGTGAGTACAATGAAAGCATATTTAATGTTATCTTCTTTACCTTCCCAGACTTAGTGGGGAAGAAAGGGAGGAATTTCCACTCCAAGAAGTACAACTTCTTCACAGTTTCTTTCTTTCTTTTTTTTTTTTTGAGACGGAGTCTCGCTCTGTCGCCCAGGCTGGAGTGCAGTGGCGCGATCTCGGCTCACTGCAAGCTCTGCCTCCTGGGTTCATGCCATTCTCCTGCCTCAGCCTCCTGAGTAGCTGGGACTACAGGTGCCTGCTGCCATGCCCAGCTGATTTTTTGTATTTTTAGTAGAGACAGCGTTTCACCATGTTAGCCAGGATGGTCTCGATCTCCTGACCTCGTGATCTGCCCGCCTTGGCCTCCCAAAGTGCTGGGATTACAGGCGTGAGCACCGCGCCCAGCCCACAGTTATCTTACTACATAGGCAAGATAAGGTGGGGAAAGAGCCTATTCTGTCCCATCTGGTCAAAGAAGAAAGAGTAATTCTGCTAAGAGGTCTGTGTAAGGCAGGGATCAGGGAGTGCCCTGTGGCCCCACCCCATCCTGAAGAGAGCCAGTCAGGACTCTAGTTGCTTCTGTACAAGCAACCCACCATTACACTTAAAACATGCAAAAAACTGGTTACGCTCTTAAACTTCACGTGAGGCACTTGTGTCTAAATCCAAACTGATGTGTCTTAATCTAGCTATATCAGCTTCCTTTTAATAACTAATAATCACCAGCATTTACTCAGTATGTATACTCTGCACCAGTTGCTGTTCCAAATACCTTACATGTATTAACTCATCTGATTTTCACAACCCCTTGGTGTGTAGGTACTGCTATTATCACCCCTATTTTTTACAACTGAGGAAGTAACAGGTTGGAAATTTCACAGTTATTAAGTGGCCAAGCTAGGATTCAAACTTGGATAGTCTGACTACAGTCTCAGCTAATTTAGGGGCTACTCTGATTTTTTTTTTTTTTTTTTTTTGAGACAGAGTCTCACTCTGTTGCCTAGGCTGGAGTGCAGTGGCACAATCTCAGCTCACTGCAAGCTCCGCCTCCCAGGTTCAAGTGATTGTCCTGCCTCAGCCTCCTGAGTAGCTGGGACTACAGGTGCGTGTCACCACACCTGGCTAATTTTTTGTATTTTTTTTAGTAGAGACTGGGTTTCACCGTGTTAGCCAGGATGACCTCGTGATCCGTCTGCCTCGGCCTCCCAAAGTGCTGGGATTATAGGCGTGAGCCACTGCACCTGGCCCGGGGCTACCCTGATTTTGAAGAGGGGTTTGATTGTAGGAAGGCCTAGGACTCAAAAAAGGAAATTTTCCTGGTAACTCTTACAATACACTAAATTACTTTACTTCTCTGGGTTTCTTCATCTGTAAAGTAGTTTTGAGAAACTAGGCACTTTAAATGCTTCATGTTGGAGAAGTCTTAAGATTTTGAACTCATAAATTATAATACCAAATTCTTACTTGTTTTCAACAAATTTAATACAGCATGGAAGTTTTAAAGATTTGATTTTGTAGTCATCAGTATGCAGTATACACACCTATGCGCAGAAGTATATTAAGCAGCACTGTCCAACATGGCATCTACTAGAGTAATACATAGCACTGACTATTTGTGATGTGGCTAGTCAAATTGAGATGTGTTGTAAGTATAAAATACACACCAGATTTCAAAGACTTAGTATGAAAAAATAAATGTACAGTATCTTGTTAATTATTTTGGATTGATTACACATTGAAATGATAACATTTTAGACATACTAGGTTAAATACATTATTTACTTTTAAAAAACGTGGGTACTAGAAGAATTAAAATTACAGTTGTGGCTTACATTATATTTCTATTGGGTATTGCTATTGTAGAAAGTCCTAAATGAGAAAGAAGGTATAGTTTATATGGGTAGGAAACTCATCTGGTGAAATAGACAGAAGACAGTATGTATCTGGTAAACCCAAGTACATCTGTAAATATATTGGCCATGGATAAAGTATATGTTTGATAAAATATATTAATTGAAACAATAGATACATTAGTGCCATGTGTAATTCAGTAGTATATTTATTGAGCACTTACATATACCAGCCACTCTTCTAAGCACTTTACATATATTAACTCAATACTTATCCTAAGGTAGGTACTGTTGTTACTCATGGAGGCACAGTGAGGTTGTTAACTTGCTTTTAAGGCTGCATTGTTAGTCGAGTGAGTAATGGAGTTAGACAGGGTCTGTATAGTTTGCCTCCAGAGCCTGTTCTGTTAACCATTGTGTGGTATTGCCTCATTAAACTAGGTGGCCTTATGATTTGCTGTATTTCTGACTCTCATGATTTTGTATGGTAGTATGTGCATAGATAACCCACTAGAATTTAAAAGCTTAAAGCAGGTGGCCTTAGTACCAGCTTGTACTTATATTTTGCTTGTAGATTTATTTTTAATTTCCCAAGAGAGAATATTTATTTATAGCTACCACTTCTAAGGCTGGTTGTTTATGCCTTAATTTTAGCCTATTAATTGCATTTGTGGTAGTACTCCACAACTTTTGTAAGTTATATGTAGATGGTGTAACTGGACTTTCAGGGGGAAGTGTACATGGCCAAATAATAACCAATAAACTGATTATAATTTAAATTAGTGATAAGAAAAGGGAATATAGGAATTTGCTGTTGGATTTACTCTGCTTAGAAGCTTTAATTGCAAAAAAGATAAAATGTGTGTTTTAAACGTTTTTATTCCTAAAGGGAAACTGTAATACTGTGTCTAGGTTGAGCATACATTAGGCATTTATGTATCATGTCGTATGTATCCATACATATATTTAAGTACCATCTTATTTAACTTGTAGCCTAAAATTTTAAAAAATACACATTTTCTGGCTACCCACTAGGTGAGGATGATACAAGAATGGACGTAACAGGTCTCTGACATGTAGAAATAAGACATACATGAAAAAAGTGAGATAAATATCAGTTTAACACAATAACACTATGTACATTATGAATAGTTAAGTCTTATACTTCTAGGGAAGGAAGGAGACTTTTCTGAACTGATAGTTTGGGTAGGGTTACTGTAGGAGGAGAGAACTGAGCTGGACTTGTAGGATGGGGTTGAATTTCCTTGAGAGGAGTAAAGCGGGTATATGAGCAAATGCTTAGACATGAGGTATAAATTGAGCTTGGGCAATAGAAAGAATTCAGCTGTGGCTTGAGTAGAGTGTTAGGAAGCTGAATAGTTAGAGGAAATTTCAAAAATTAACTTGGGGCCAGACTGTAGAAGACCTTGAATTTTAACAGTAGGAGTTTGGACTCTAAGAAGTTAAGAGTTGGGGCAGAAAAAAAAAGAAAAAAAAAAAAAACCTTTGGGTATATGATACTTTATCCTTGAGTTACTGCTTATGTGATGGACATCACTAATAAGTTATGTTCTTAACCTAAAATGCTAGATATTTTTAGTTCTTGGTAATAAGCAATATGAAAGAGCTTGCTTTCTTTGTTACTAGTAAAATCTAGTGCATGAAATTGGCTTGTTAGCATAATCTCAGATTTCTTGGTTGGAAGAATTTTTATCACATAGCAAATAACTTGACAGTTGTTTATTTTTAGAGATGACAAATCAGTATTTTGCACTGACTCTGTGAATTTCATTTATACATTTCCATGTACTGTAAATTTATACCCTTATTTTTGGGGCACACTAAAATTAGCCCTTTTTAAAAAAGCTCTGGCTTATTTTGGCACCACTACCTTATTAGCCCAGACCCGTGGGCTACATTGTTTAACCTGCTGAACCCCATGTTTTTTCTTTGTAAAATTGGAAAGACACCTCCCTCCCAGGGGTGGTGAGATTGTCTAGTGAAGCAAGACAGTTGCAGTAATGTCAGGCACACATGTGGAGGTAGATACTCAGTAAATTTTGTCTCCCTCCCTCCTAAGATTGAAATGGTTGTGAGCAGAGACTTAAAGTAGACTTTCTTATTATTTAATGTAGACTTTCATATAGTGAAACTCAAGGAAATTTGTAAGGCAGTAACTTTTGTAAAGTCTGACTTTGTTATAACTTGGATTTTAAAATGTTGATATATCAATATAACTTAGTGATGTTTTTAAAAATAAATTGGCAACTGTTTCATGAGAATGTACATAAAAAACTGAACAATCAAAGGACTGAAGTATTTCTACAAAGTCATTTTATTTCATGAGCTAAAAACTGTGGCATTGAAAGCAAATGAAGTCCGGGAGGAATATTGTTATACCAAGCATGTTCTAGATCATGCTGTTAAAGAAGTGCAGTTAAATTTTTTTAACTGACTTTTTTTCTTTTGGCATACATCAGTAAATGTTAATATGTGTGTAGTTGTGTAACCCCCAACTGTAGTCAAGATACAGAACAGCTCTGTCACTCTAGAAAACTCCTTGTGCTATCCCTTTACTGCCACATTCTCTCCCTAACCCCTAGCAACCACTGATCTTTTTTCTATTTCTTTATGGACTAGAATAATGGGGGCTATCAAATCAGATGAATATCTTAAATATGATACCAATATAAAGATAAAATATTGAAATATCAAATAAGGTAGTGGTCATGAAAGTTCTTAGTACATAGAGGCATTAGTTATTTAAAAAATAGTTTTGACTGGGCGAAGTGGCTCATGCCTATAACCCAACAATTTCAGAGGCCGAGGTGGTAGGATCTCTTGAGGTCAGGCGTTCAAGACCAGCCTGGTCAACATAGTGAGATCCTCCCATCTCTACAGTCAGTCCAATAACTAAATAACCAACTAAGTAATTAAAAATAAATAAATAATAAATAAAATAGAAGAATAAAAAAATAATTGGCCAGGTTATGATGGTGTGTGCCTGTTGTCACAGCTGTTCAGGATGATGAGGCAGGAGGATCACTTGACTCCAGGAGTTTGAGGTTGCAGTAAGCTATGACTGTGCCACTGCACTCCAGCCTGGGCGACAGAGTGAGACCCTGTCTTAAAACCAAAAAACAAAAAGACCAAAACCAAAAACAAAATAGTTTCATATATAATATGAAGTCAGTGGGTGAAGTTTAGCAGAACTCTTCCACAAAGTCAAGTTTGTGTGAACTTCGACAGCTTTTTTCTTCAGAGGCTTTTAGGCTTATTTTTGAAAGACTTGTTTCACATGGTCCCGATAGCTGGAAATCCCTGTGTTGTCTTTTAACTTCATATTCTTCGTAAGTGAAAGTGGACAATAATATCTATCTTGAAAGGTTATGATTATTAAATGCTATGATATACAAAAATATAAACCTATATTTTTGCATACATACATGCATACACACACGCATACGTGCATACACACATGCATACGTGCATACATGTATGCATGCACGTATGTGTGTATGCATACATGTATGTAAGTGTGTGTATGGGGATGCCTAACCTATAGTAGGCATTCTTTTACTTTTTTTTTTTTTAAACGTCTGCAGTAGCTTTGGAATCTTGGCTTGCTCAAGGGATGCCATGTCTTCTTAATTTCTGTATGCTGTCCCCTGCTCATGGAAAAATTGATCAGTTGATCCTCAAAGCTTCATCTTTCTGTTTTAATCATTTTTAATTTTTTTTTTTTTGAAATTTATCACTGATTTTTCTGTTTGGGGGGTGGAGGGAAGTATAGTAAATCTATATATTTATCTTAATGATTCCAGGTTCGTTTCACGATATAACCATTTCATGAAGTGTGATTTTTTTTTTTTTTTAATTTTTGAAATTGATCATTGGGACATATGGGCTGAATCTTTGCCAGTCCCAGAGCTTCCTTTTGAACTTGTGTTTGTCAGTTCCTATTATAAGATTGATTTTGCTTTTGACATTTTAATCTTTTCTTAAAAGTAAAGTACACAGTGTTCTGATATATAACATTTTAGGCAGTAAGATGTAATTGCTTTCCTACGAATTTAATTATTTAATCAAGTGCAGAAACAGATTTAGGATTTTTTGTTCTTGCCCACAAATCATTATGTACATTCTGTTTATCGGTGTTCTTTGTCTCATTATTTGTGTTCAAAATATTCATAGAATCAGTAAATTATGGAACTGGAAAGGACCTTCAAGATCATCTAGTCTATTAATGTTTAATTCTCTCTAATCCAAAGCCCCCCTTTCATAATAAATATTTCTAATACTCTCCTTAGTGTCCTGAAATGAAATTCCTAATGAAAATTTTTACCCCATAAGTAAAATGAATCAATATAGTAATAATTCTCTAATTGCAATATAAAGGAAAAATAAAAGGAGTATAATTTAAAATACAGTATAAGATATGATTATGCTAGAAGATTAAAAAAAAGAAGAAGAAGAAAGAAAAAGCACCAACAGATTTCCAAAATGCTCTTAGAGGGGTAGTGCCATTTTGTTGAGAACCACCAATGGAGCCTCAATCTTCTCATTTCATAGGTAAAGAAAGTAAGGGTGGGGGTGAAAGGGCAGAGGAGAGGGTGTTGGATGGATTACACAGGTGTGGTTGTTAGTAGAGTGTGAGTCCTGGAGTATAAGTCTAAGCAGTCAGTAGGTATCAAACTTCTTTGCCTCATGGTTTTTCTAAAGATTTACATGAAAACATTTTTTGTTTTTTGATGAGGTAGGTGGTTATGTATTATTCTTGACTTCTTTGCTGTGGAGATACAGATAATATATTGGGGTCTGTATTAGTCTGTTCTTGCGTTGCTATAAAAAACTATCTGAGACTGGGTAATTTATAAAGAAAAGAGGTTTAATTGGCTCATGGTGCCACAGGCTGTACAGGAAGCTTGGCTGGGGAGGCCTCAGGAAACTTATAATGGTGGCAGAAGGCAAAGGGGAAGCTGGATTGCCTTACATGGCTAGAGCAGGAGGAAGAGAAAGGGGGAAGTGCTACATATTTTTATAAACAACGAGATCTCATGAGAACTTACTCACTATTATGAGAACAGCAAGGGGGAAATCTGCCTCCATGATCCAGTCACCTCCCACCAGGCCCCTCTTCCAACATTGGGGATTGCAATTCAACATGAGATTTGGGTGGGGACACAGACCCAAACCATATCTGAATCCCTCTTTCTGAATTAGTTGGTTGGGGGAATCCTGTAGGGTAGTGCCAGCTCACTGTACCTTTCGCCTCTGATTCTGCCCTTGGCACAGAGTAGCCTCTCAGTTAGTGGAGTTTCTGGGCGTCTTTCTTCCGGGTACTGTATAGGTGGTGGACATGTGGATATGTGTGTGATAACTAGAGGACGTTCAGTAGGCTCAGAGATATCTCCAGTGCTTCCATTATCTGGCTTTATGACCTTGGGCACAAACCCATTTTTTCATCTGTAAAATTCCTACCTTTTCTTATAGGTTGCCAGAAAGGTCAAATGAGAGTGTAATGGAAAGTGATTTGTAAACTCTGTGTAAATGTGTCATATGCAGATGCAATGGATTAGTGTTAAGCCTAGCATCCTCCCTCTCTAGAGTTATAAAGATATTATGGTCCTATTTTTTATTATTAAAAATGCTTATCTGAATCTCATTTCAGTTCCTTGAACCTAACAAGCACGTACCTGCCCAGGGATGCGGGATACCATATACACTGTGCTTTCTTCAGCCCTGTCTCCACCTAGGCAGTGCCCAGCAAACCCACAAATAAAAGCCCAAAATCAAAACAAAACTTCTCTACTTTAGCTCTGCTACTGTTATTATTTCTGGCCTTTCTGGAAGAGCATACAACTCTTGTTATAGCTTTCATAGCCTTTATTACAATGTCAGTATTTACTTATTTCAGAATTAGATTCCCCTGCTAAGTTTCATGAGACTTCTGTGATCTGCTTTATGTGCTTGTGTATGAAGGTAAAAGTATTCTTTGCAAAATATAGTAAAACTGATACTTAGGGAAGATGCCCTGTGTATACCCTCTAGACTCAGCATTTTCTGATATAAACCGAAGTGCTTGGAGTAAACACAATACAAGGCAACCCTAATACCAGCTCAAGTTCCTTTTTACTTTCATCCCACTAACTCATTTAATTTCTTGGAGAAGTGCCATCCCCAATAACTTCTAGAATGTTGCTTTTGTAATTATTAATTATGTGGAATTTTCGTAGCTTAACTTTATAAATATTTCTTAGCCTTTACACTGAATTGCTTTTTTATCAGGATTCTAGGTATAATCAAGGATAAAAATCTTTTAGAGAAAAACTGAGTTTTTATTAAAAATGTTAGACTTTGCATTAATAACTATTTTTGTGCCATTTTGTTAAATATCTGAAAAACATTTTACTCTTTTGTAAATAATTTTTGTTTTAAATAAATTGTAATTTACTCATTTGTAGCAGCCTCTGACAGATTTTTTTCTCATTCACTTTTGGACTTAATGCTTTTGCTTAAGTTTAGTGACTAGATTTCTCATTGTTGATTCTCTGAATAGTTACTTTTAAAACTTTCTTTACATTCATAATCTAGGCCTCATTAATTTAAACTGAGCTTTGCTTTGTTGGTCTTCTTGTTACTTTGTTTCTTATTATTTTTTAATGCATTGTCAGCCATACTCTTCATCACCTCATTTCAGCGATGCCAATAACTTAGGGTATTCATATTAGTAGATAACTGTCACTGTGATACAATTTTGAACAATATATGGTATTTTTCTCTGCCTGCACCATGGAGTCCTCCTTTCTTACATAGCCTGGAATTTGCTACACAAATGTAAAGTTGTTTATTGGAAACCGTTCAGGATTTGGAGTTAAATGGATGTAGGTTTAAATCCTGACTCTGCTGCTTGCCAGTTATATGGTCTAGATGAAGCAGTCTTGTTTGAGGTGTTACCCAGAGTTCTTTGTCTCACGACCAAGAAAATTAAGGAGCATGGACACCAAGGGTGAGGTTGGAGCAAAAGTTTAATAAGCGAAAGAGAAAAACTCTGCAACTGAGAGGGGGCCTGAAAGAGGGTTGCCAGCTATGAGGCTGAGTCCGGGGATTTTATGGACTGGAAAGACAAGGAATGTGCTGACTGGTCTGCAGGCTGTTTTGGAGAAAGCACCACTTAGAAGTATGTTAGTGTAAAGAATTGGAGGCAGAGGTGGAGGCTAGGCCCAGGACCTTGGCCTGGGACCAATCAGGGGCTGAAGTGATGATTCACCCTATATAAATGAAGACTTAGCCCGTGGCTACTTACAGAAAAGTAGACATATGTCAAATAGGTGAAAAGTAAGGGACTAAGGCATGCCAAGGAGAGAGAAATGTATCCAAAGGGTTTTGGGTTCACAGAGTAAGCATTTCCATTGAAGGACATGGGCTCTTTCTTATCTGGGGCCTGCAGTTTGATTTTCAGGCTTCTTTGTTTGAAGGAGTTTTACCAAGGACTCACCCCAATTGCCTGCCTTACGGGTGTCTTACTTTATCCTCTCTCACGATTTCTTACTTTATCCTCTCTCATGGGCATGTTTGAATGTTTCTGAGCTCACTTTCTGCAGCTGTAAAATGGATATATGGTTAACCACCTTATAGAGTTGTGAGGATTGGAATATTGTTTGTAAAGTTCTTTATACGGTATTTCTCTTTTGTTCCATGTCTTTTAATGATTTCTGAAAAAATACTCATTTTTAATGCAACCAATTTTAAATACAGGTAGAGTAGACTGGAGAGACCAGACTGAGAGTGGGAAGCCTGCCCTTAGGCTCCTTCTATCTCTAAAGTTACGTGTTTGTGACTCACTTTAAATGTAGATTATATAAGGTGTAAATCAACTACCAGGCAGTCTGGATAAAAATTTTCTTAGCAGTAAGGAAAATAAACTGTCAAAAGTGAATCTGATCTCTGTTACCTCATCTAGAATAGAAAGGGTTTAGTTGGGCCACTGATTTCGGATGATATTCTTTAACACCTTTAAGAAGGAGAGGTCCTGATAGAGGTGAGGAGTGGGGTTGGGCTCTGAAATAGAGCAGCTGTGTTTTGTTGTTGTTGTTGTTTTTGGAGACGGAGTTTCGCTCTTATCGCCCAGGCTGGAGTGAAGTGGTGCAGTCTCAGCCCGCTGCAAACCTCCACCTCCTGGGTTTAAGCGATTCTCCTGCCTCAGCCTCCCGAGTAGCTGGGATTACAGGTGCCCGCCATCACGCCCAGCTAATTTTTTGTATTTTTAGTAGAGACAGGGTTTCGCCATGTTGGCCAGGCTTGTCTCGAACTCCTGACCTCAGGTGATCTGCCCACCTCGGCCTCCCAAAGTGCTGGGATTACGGGAGTGAGCCACTGCGCCCAGCCTACTGCTGTGTTTTTATTTGTTTCATATGAGACTTCTTGGGATTTTTGGATAAAGAGTTTCGTGGTCCAGAAGTTTGCAAGCCAGTGGAGTAAGTTATCTCTAAAGCCTATTTGAACTCTGAATTTCTGTGATATGTGATTGTATAGGCAATGTGGCTTTTAGATTTATCAGATTTTCAAAGATGTCTTCCGTGGTATTTTAATGATTATACTGTTCTGAAAATAGTCTCTTTTTGGCCATAAAAAAGTTCCATCTGTATATCCTATAAATAACTTTAAAAACATCCTGCAAGTACCAATTGCCTTTCTTAAGCCTTCATGATATTTTATTACCAAATAAAGTCTTTTTTTGGCAGTCACATTAACTATGTTTTTATTTATTAATGGTAAGAATGTGCTACATGAAACACTTTAAGATAAATAGAGTTCTATGGTCATTCTCCATCTGTTACTTACTTTGATTTTTGTAAATCTAGAGAATAAAAGGGTCAGCATTTTAATAGCCAAGCAGATGTTTGAGTAATTGACCCTGTTATTATTTGTACAAAATATACTTTTATATAAAGCCATTGTCTTTGAGAATAAGTGAAAGAAAACACCCATTTTATTAACATTAGTAACATTTACACCGAATTCCATGGTTGATAGAATTCAATCAGAAATGCTTTGAATAAAAAATTATTTGATTCCTTTCATATTATGAGGTGTTAATCATGAAAACATCTCAAGTATTTAATAAACAAAATCTAATGCCAATAAGTAGAAACAAAATAATATTACCTATAATACATACATAAGAAATAGATCTCTTATTTCTACCTCTTCTTCAGTACTTCATGGTTTTTTTGACTCAGGTTAGAGTTGTTTTGTAGAATAGTGACTATATATGCTTTATCTGTGGCTTTACCTCATTGCCTAGATAAGCTTGTTTCATGAATGAAAATTACACAATATAGTTTTATGAGAGTTAAGCACTTCTCTAGAATTTGTTTCCAGTAGAAGACTATCTTTGGCTGCTGCTGAATTATTTTTCTAAAGCAATAATGCCTTAACTCTTTCTAGTTACAAAGCCATCTGAAAAATGTTAGGGATCCTCTCTGCAGAAAAATACTTTATACATAGCAGATAGATTTAGGGGGCTGAACCCTTGAATACATTTCATGAGTCATTGTGGGTAAACTACCCTTTGCTATGTGAAGAACCGATTGTAAGAGGGAAACCGATTTAAATATTTTCATCATTTTGCTTGTATCTATTAAAAGAAAAAATAATATGAATGACAGATATGAAACTAGCCCACTTGTCCCATAGAACTGATTTTATAATTTCTTTTGAATAAACGTAGAAATTGACCCTCTCGGGCTTAAAACCTGAGACAGTTACTGTTGTCTTATCTGAGTTCCTTTTTCAGGATACCAACCATCAGGCCTCACAGATAGTATCAAGAGAACTGAAACTTACCAAATCACCGTATCTGGACAATGAGACACCAGCCCCTTCACCCATCATGATTGCCCGACCCAACCACCTGCTGCCTGTTGACCAACTCCTCTTCCTTACCACTCCCTAATTCCGTTTTTTGTTTTGTTTTGTTCTGTGTGTGTGTGTGTGTGTGTATGTGTGTGTGTGTGTGTGTGTGTAGTTACATTTCTTTCCTGCTTATAAAATCCTGATTCTAGTTGGGCAAGAAGGTGAATTTGAGACTGATCTCCCGTCTCCTTTGCTGGACACCCAGTTAAAGCCTTTTTCTCTGTCAATACTCATCTCAGTGATTGGCTTTCTGTGCTGCAAGCAGCAGGGACCTAGACCAAACCCCCAGTGCTTTGGTAACAAATGCCTCTGTTTTATTTGACAAAATGGTGGTGTGTTCATTCAGTTTGCATTAATCTGTAACTTTAAAAAAGTCTTTTATAAAAGATAATGATGTAACTATAGATTTTGTAAAGAATATGAGCAGTTTGTGTTTTAAAGATCTGATTGTAGGCTGAGTGCGGTGGTCAACATGGTGAAACCCTGTCTCTATCAAAAAATACAAAAAAAAAAATTAGTTGGGCATGGTGCCCCACGCCTGTGGTCCCAGCTATTTGGGAGGCTCAGGTGGGAGGATCAGTTGAACCCAGGAGGTGGAGGTTGCAGTGAGCCGAGATCATACCACTGCCCTCCAACCTGGGTGACAGAGTGAGACTCTGTCTCAAGAAAAGAAAAAATAATTGATACAATATGAAACATGAAGGAAAGCATTTTATTACTTGTCCAGTCAAATCACTTGTTGGATGCCCTCCCCTGAAACAGTGGTATTTTATGCCTTCCAATGAATCTCAATAATTCTATATTAGAAAAAAAGATTAATGTCTGAATATCAACTTTTATATGTATGAAAAACATTGGACCAGTTTAACATTGTATAATTCAAATTTTATACTTTATGTTAGTGGCTAATGCTACCCTCAGTGATATGTATATCAGTGATGGACTTTTGTCCAGTTCTTTAACGTAAGAAATCCTGGCTTCTGATTTTTCTCTTCGGAACAGATGTTGCTGGGATATTTTTTGTTAATATGTAAAAATTATACTAGTTGCACACAATTTGGAAAATAAAAGTTAGGGAGGGAGGAAAAAACCAGTCTCACTATGCAGGGACAGCCATTGGTAACATTTTGATGTACTTCTATCTAGTGCTTTTTTTGTTCAGTGATTTCACTCTCTAGTTTTTGGTCCCCTTTTGTTCTCTTGCTTTGCTTGTGTTTGTTCTTGTTTCTAATTTGTAAGGTGATAGGTATTCTTACAATTTCTCTTTTTCCTTTGGCATTCATGACTTCCAGGGCAGAAGTGGTTAGTTATTCATGTCTTGATAATCTCTCAGCTAAGTAACATATTATTTTTTTTGTTTTGAAATATAATTCACATCTACAATTCACTCATTTAAACTGTACAGGTCAATTGTTTTTAGACTGTTCACAGAGCTGTGCAACCATCACCACTGTCTAATTTTAGAACCCCCCCTTCATAAGCTTTGTACTAATTAGTAGTCACCTCACATTCCCACTGTCCCCAGCCCCAGCCCTAGGGAACCACTGGTCTGCTCTCTGTCTCTGTAGCTTTGTCTGGTCTGGGCATTTCATGTGAATGAAATAATATACCATGTGGCCATTAGTGATTGGCTTTTTTCACTTAGCATAGTGTTTTCAAAGTCCATCTATGTTGTAGCATGTGTCAGTACCTCATCTCTCTCTTTTTTTTAGTATAATATCTACTGATAGATATACCACTTTTGTTTATCCGTTCAACAAGTGAAGTCTATTTGGGTTGTTTCCTCCTTTACTATGAATAGTGCTGCTATTGATGCAGGACAGGTGAGCCCCCAAATTGGGGCTTAACCCAGGAGAATTCTTGGCTTTACCCAGGAAAGAATTTAAGGGTGAGCCAGTGACAGCAGTCATTTATTGAGCAGTACTGTTCCTTGCAGAACAGGGCTAACTCACAGGCAGTGGGCCCAGAGTAGGCAACGTATGGTCTCTTGGCAGTTGCATTTATACTTACTTATACCTACTTTCAATTACATGCAAATTAAGGGGCAGGTTATTTAGAACTTTCTAGGAAAGGGGCAGTAACTTCCAGGCCCTTGCCAAGGAAGGGGTTGGTAACATCCAGGTCATTGCCATGGCATTTATAAACTGTCGTGGCGCTGGTGGGAGTGTCTTATGCTAATGGACAATGGGGGCAGCTAGGGATTGCTTTCCTTGCCATCTTTAGATGCCTGCCTGTTTTTTCACTTCATCTTGTCTGGGCCAGATCCTGTTTTGGCCAGTAGGGTTGTGACCAGAAAACAAGTCCTGCAGGTCTCCTATCTCACTATGAACATTTATGTGCCTGTTTTTGTGTGGACATATGTTTTCATTTCACTTGGATTTATATATCTAGGACTGGGCTTGCTGGATCATATTGTAACTCTATGTTTAACATTTTGAGGACTATAATAAGTAATTTGAAAAGTAGTCCCTTAAATAACAGCTAGGTGGAGTATACTAGAGTTACCCTAATCATTTTGAAATGATTTCACATAATAGAGTTCCACTTAGCATGGGTGTATGTGGTTTTAACTTTTACATCTTGAAAGGAAACTTTGTGTAGTAACAGGAAATTGTTGAAATATAGTGTACTTGCTGTTTGAGAAGAAAAAAATGGTGATATTTTTAAAAGTTTGCTGCTAATAATTCAGATTGTTTGAAACAGTTTGGAGGAAACAAAACCAAACAGAAATCTGAAACCATGGAAAAACTTCCTTGTGACTAAACCAATCACTGTGCAGTGTGTACCACAAAAAATAATGTCAAGAAGTCCGCTTCTTTATGTCTTTGCATTTTGTCCTAGCTTGACTGAGCACTGTTCTCCCTCAAGACTCAGGCCTTGGTTGTATATTAATTGCTTTTCTCTGTTTTAGTTGATTTTCCTTAGCCTTCTAAGATCCCCTTCTAATGGAAAGAACGCTTAGCCGGTCACAGGAGATGTGAGGTCTTAGCCTGACTGTCACAACTGGCCTCTTTGAGTTGTGAGCAGAGAAAATTTCTGCTAGAACTTTCTTCATGCTTAAGGGACTTACGTGTGTGTGTGTGTGTGTTTATATATGTGTGTGTATATATAAACACATATATTACACATATATACACAACATAAACATATACAACATATTACACATAATATGCATTACATATATAACATATTACATAACATAACATATATTACATGTAACATATATTTATGGGCTCATATTTTGTGTAGATGGATTTAATTTCAGTAAACCTGCTTTCTGACTTCATCACTTAGTTCTTTTATTATATTAATAATTTTTCTGGCTGTGTCTCATGAAGGGAAAAACAAAACATGAGCTTAAACTTCAAATGGGAAGAGATAAATGCTACTCAGTAAACCAAATGATGGTTTTATTAGGCTCAGGATCTTTGGTGGTGCCAATGTAGTTTTAGTTTACTAAATACTTTTATCATTCCTATCTCAATTTATGTTTTCAGTCTTTCTAACTTGTTGTTGAAAATTTACTTTGGGCTTAATGTATGGCAAGCAATCATCTTCCTAAGGGGTATGGGTTGTTTCTACCTTAACATTAATCTTTTTGCTTTGATTATGGGATCATGGAAAAATAGCAGTTACTGACAGGCAACTTACTTTGGCTACAGCTAAGCTACTTCTTTTTCCTCTCCCCTTCCTTTTCTCTCTCCCTTCTTTCCTTTTAACCCTATAAGTAACAAATGGAAATGTTCTCTATGAAACATTAGAGAAAGGTTTAATTCCCTTTGACCACCATCCTCAGTCACAGCTGTCCCATCCCATAGAGGCAACCGCATGTGTCATTGGCAGGTATTCTTCTAGACAGATCTCTGTGCATTTGTAATTATTTATATAAACCATATGGCATTAAGCCTTTTGGGGGAGGGTGTGGTTTCCTTCCTTCCAAAAATGGTATTGCATTTTCTCTTAGCAATACATCTTGGAGAGCAGATCAGTTTAGAAAATACAGCTTGACTGCATTCTTTCCAGCTGCTGCATATTGTGTCATAGTATTTGGATGTACCATAGTTAATTTAGCTCTCTCCCCATCAGTGGACATTAATGTTTCTTCTTTTTCTGTTACAGACAATGCTGCAAGGAAACATCTTTGTACATTCAGTTGAATATTTCTCTAGGGTAAATACTAAGAGGGAATTAATGATATTCAGAATAGCAATACCTACTTATCAGTTTGCCCTCTAAACTGGGTATACCACTTGATACTCCCTCCAGCTGTGAAGGCAAGGACACCAACAATGATTTTTAGAATATCAGGGGCAAAACTTTTTTTTTTTTTTTTTTTTAACAATCTACAGGAGAGGGGAATGGAGTTTTATTGTTTTAATTTGCATTTTCTTGAAAATAGTGAAGTCGAACATTTCTTTGTATATTTATTGAGCATTTGTATTTTCTTCCTATGAACAGCATATGTCTAATTAGATGATTTATAAAATATTCAGGTTAAATTATTTTATGCATGTAACATTTTTGGGTGACTATTGTCATAACATACATATAGAGAAGTACATAAATCACAAATTTCAGTTTTAATAAAGTGAATGCACCCTGTGTAACCAGCAGCCAGTTAAAGAAACAGAGTATTACCAAAATCTTAAAAGCTCCCTGGTGCTTTCAGTTCCTATACCTGCTCCACACCTCCCAAGGATAACCATTACTCGTACTTGTAACGTTATAATGTAGCTTATCTGTTTTTGAACTTCAGATAAGAAGAACCATACAGCATATACTTGGCTTCTATGTATTATCTTGAATTTTAAGCAAGATAATTATATCAGGGTTTGGAGAACTGTGAATATTTAATTCACACTAAACCTTTCAGTAAACCTCAAGAGGTAAGTAATAAGAGATAAGTTGTGTCATTTTGAGGTAATCCTAAACCACCTTTATTCTGGTTTAAGAACTCTCAGACTTCCCCCAGGGAATTACCAGGCTTGTTTATTAAATCCATTAACGGTTCAGAGTCCTTCCTTGCTTCATTTTGGGTACATATAACTGAAGTTTGGCCCCATTCTGCTCTTTAACTGTCCTGTTGTGTTTGCTCAGAATTGGTGAACTGGGCTTTTATTTCTCCTAAGTTCTCCCTAACTAAAAAGCTTGTTATCTTGTAACTTCTTTTTGTTCCTAAGAAAGTATTATTCTTTTGTTCTGTTTCGGAAGAATGAAACTGTGTAGTTTGTTCCTTTCCTGTTGTCTGTTTGTTTTTTCCAAACAGATAAAGGTTTTTTCTTTTGATGATTTGTTTATTAAAGGAATATACTTTTCTGTCTTTGGAATATTTTTAACATAAATTTTTAAATATTTCTAATGGTTTCTCAAAACCGTACTATAATAGAGACAGTGTTTTAAAATTAATAAGTAAAGATGAGTAAAGTCACTAATGGTAACATTCTATTTATTTTTAATTAATAGTCGCTTCCTAAAGGAATTTAAAGTTTTTTATAATAAAAGACACGTGATAATGCTATTAAGAATACAAATAAAAGATTGAAAGAGGAGAAAGAGATAGTAATAGCTATAATCTTTCTTCCTGGAATTGAATGTTAAATTTAGCTATGAGCCTTTGAGACTCAAAAGGAAAACAAATACAGTTCTCATTGGGGGAATAAAGAAACATACCATTTCTTTAGGCAGGACAGTTTATGTTACTAAGTTCTGAAAGAAAATTACATGGATCCTTGTAGATTGCACAGAAAGGCTTGCATACACTCTTTAACAGCAGTTAGAAAATGCAGACATGTTCATCAGAATGAGGCTGTGCAAATTAGCATCTATCCATAGATTTAAAAGAAATTAATTAGCTCATAAATATTTCACTAACGTTTATGGAAAAAAACAATCAGTTTGACTGTGTCTGGTTGTGAAGCTTACAAGAAGAGTGGTGCATAAATAATGAACATATTTCAATTCCTTCAGATTGCAGAATAATCTCAGTAATCAGGTTCTGATTATTTTAGCTGTCTTTTAAAATATTTCTATTTTTATTGCTAATGATAATTGTAATAATGACTGTTATTGTATATGCATATACTATATATGCAATAATTGACGTTAGTGTTCACTTTAATTTTATGTATTTGATTTTGTCATTTGAATCAAAATCAATGTGTTGCTTATAGTTGTCTTGGAAAAATTATAAAGTTGTCTGATATATTTGTTTTAACTGACTCCCAAGGATTGCTTTTCTAGTAGAGTATTTGATTAGAGATTACAACAAAAAATAATTTTAACAGGGATTAACTGATGTCTTTTCAAATTTTTTATTAAATATTTTTATTTAAGTTCAGGTTTACATGTGCAAGTTTGTTATATAGGTAAACTTGTGTCATGGGGGTTTGTTAAACAGATTATTTTGTCACCCAGGTATTAAGCCTAGTACCTGTTAGTTATTTTTCCTGATTGACTCCCACCCTCTACCCTTCAGTAGGCCCCAGTGTCCCCTCTGTGTGTCAATGTGTTCTTAGCCTTTAGCTCCCATTTATAAGTGAGAGCATGTGGTATTTGGATTTCTGTTCCTGCGTTAGTTTGCTTAGGATAATGGTCTCCAGCTCCATCCATGTTCCTGCAAAGGACATGATCTTATTCTTTTTTATGGCTGCATAGTATTCCCTGGTGTATTTGTACCACATTTTCTTTATCCAGTCTACCATTGATGGGCATTTAGGTTGATTCCATGTGTTTGCTATTGTGAATAGCTGCAGTGAACATACACATGCATGTGTCTTTATGATAGAAGAATTTATACTTCTTTGGGTATATATCCAGTAAGGGGTCTGTGGGTTTTTAGGTCTTTGCAGAATTGCCACACTGTTTAACACAATGGTTGAACTAATTTACACTCCCACCAGTAGCATATAAGCATTCATTTTTCTCTGCAACCTCGTCAGCACCTGTTATTTTTTCTTTTTAGTAATAGCCATTCTGACTGGTGTGAAATGGTATCTAATTGTGGTTTTGATTTGCATTTCTGTAATGATCAGTGATGTTCAGCTTTTTCCTCATATGCTCGTTGGCCACATGTATGTCTTCTTTTGAAAAGTGTCTGTTCATGTCTTTTGCGCACTTTTTAATGGGTTTTTCTCTTGTAAGTTTAAGTTTTTTATAGATGCTGGATATTAGACCTTTGTTAGATGCATAGTTTGAAAAAATTTTTTCCCTTTCCGTTAGTTGTCTGTTCACTCTGTTGATAATTTCTTTTGCTGTGCAAAAGTTTTTAGTTTTCTGAAATCTCGTTTGTCAGTTCTTGCTTTCGTTGCAGTTACTTTTGGTATCTTTGTCATGAAATCTTTGCCAGTTCCTATGTCCAGAATAGTATTGCCTTCCGGGTTTTTATAGTTTTGAGTTTTATATTTAAGTCTCTAATCCATCTTGAGATGATTTTTTGTATATCGTGTAAGGAAGGGGTCCAGTTTCAGTCTTCTTCTAGAACCATTTATTGAATAGGGAGTCCTTTCCCCATTGCTTGTTTTTGTCAGCTTTGTTGAAGATCAGATAGTTGTAGGCGTGATGCCTTATTTCTGGGTTCTCTATTCTGTTCCATTGGTCTATGTGTCTGTTTTTGTACCAGTACCATGCTGTTTTGGTTACTGTAGCCCTGTAATATAGTTTTAAGTTGGGTAGCATGATGTTTCTAACTTTGTTCTTTTTGCTTAGGATTGCCTAAGCAAAAAGTGAAGAGCTCTTTGGGCTCTTTTTTGGTTCCATATGATTTTTAAAATAGTTTTTTTCTAGTTCTGTGAAGAATGTCATTGGTTGTTTAATAGGAATAGCATTGAATCTATAAATTACTTTGTGTAGTATGGCCATTTTAATGATATTGATTCTTTCTATCCATGAGCATGAAATGTTTTTCCATTTGTTTGTGTCATCTCTGATTTCTTTGAGCAGTGTTTTGTAGTTCTCCTTGTAGAAATCTTTTCACCTTACTGATTAACTGTATTCCTAGTTATTTTATTCTTTTTGTGGCAATTGTGAATGGGATTGGGTTTTTGATTTGGCTTTCAGCTTGACTATTGTTGGTATATAGGAATATTAGTGATTTTTATACATTGATTTTGTATCCTGAGACTTTGCTAAAGTTGTTTATCAGCTTAAGGAGTTTTTGGGCCAAGACTTTGGGTTTTCTAGATATAGGTTCATGTCATCTGCAAACAGGGATAGTTTGACTTCCTCTCTTCCTATTTGGATGCTCTTTATTTCTTTCTCTTGCCTGATTGTTCAGCCAGGATTTCCAATTCTATGTTGAATAGGAGTAGTGAGAGAGCATCTTTGTTTTGTGCCAGTTATCAAGGGGAATGCCTTCACTTTCGTCCATTCAGTATGATATTGGCTGTGGTTTTTGTCATAGATGGTTCTTATTATTTTGAGGTATGTTCCTTAAAAGCCCAGTTATTGAGAGTTTTCAACATGAATGGGGTGTTGAATAGTATAGCTGTCCAGTGGGAATATATTTTGTTTCTAAATTCACCATGTGTTGTCTCCATATTTCAGGATTAGGTCAAAGCAGAATACTTTTTTTTTTTCTTTTTAAGGCAGAGTCTCATTGTCTCCCCCAGGCTGGAGTGCAGTGGCCTGATCACTGCAACCTCTGCCTCCTGGGTTCAAATGATTCTCCTGCCTCAGCTTCCCAAGTAGCTGGGACTACAGATGCATGCCACCATGCCTGGCTAATTTTTGTATTTTTAGTAGAGTGGGGTTTTGCATGTTGGTCAGGCTGGTCTCAAACTCCTGACCTCGAATGATCCACCCGCCTTGGCCTTTCAAAGTGCTGGGATTCCAGGCATAAGCCACGACGCCCAACAAAGCAGAGTGCTATATGACAGATAAAATCAGTGTCATCAGCTGATGTGGAAGCCAAATGTGGCAGGGAGAGCAGGAATTTTATTAGCACATGGTCAAGAAGCCAAGTACAGATTAGGATTTGTGCCAGGTTCACCTGGACACTCTATTCTTGACTCAAACAGATGGTTTGTTTAGTAGCAAGGATTTTGGTGATAACAACTTTCAGAGAGTCTTCCTTTTGTGCCATCCTCTCAGAATTTGGACCGAATGCCTTCTCTATCTAATGTATAGTTGTCACCCTGAAATCTCCCTTTCAGGATCATCCTTCTTGACCTCTCATCTATGATGATCTCTTACTTGCTGTATTTCAGATCTCCCTTAGTCTTTGTTTACTTCTTTTAGTGGAGCCCATTTTCCAGTAGCTTCTTTTTAAAAGATTGTATGGGAAGTCACTTTTACACCTGGCATGTCTGACAGTGTTTTTCTACCAACTACTCTAACACTTGCTACAGGGACGGGTTGGAAATAATTTTCTTTAGAATCTTAAAGTTTTTGTTCTGTTTTTGTCTTGCTCCTGGTATTGGCTGCTGAGATGTTCAAAGCTGGTCTAATTTTTAATCCTTTGTATGTAACCTGTTTTTTCCTTTCTAGAAGGTTTGTGGAACGTTCTTTGTCTCCACTCTTCTGTAAGTTACAGTGGTATTCCTTGGTGAACATCTGTTTTCATCCATTATCTTTGCTATTAGTAGGCTCTGTTAATGTGGAATGTCATTTTCTCCGGTTCCGGGGAATTTTTTTGAGATTGTTGTTGCTGATTTCCCCCTCTCCAATTTCTCACAACTCTTTTTGGCCCTTGTATTACTGGCATATGGGACCTCGTGTCTTGGCCCTTTCATATATTCTTTCTGCTTTCCATCTCTTTATCTTCTGCTGGGCTTTTTGGGAGATTTTTTCTCAACTTTATTTTCTAACTCTTTGGTCGTGTATAATTTTTGCTAATCATTTTTGCTGTTTTAAACTTTCAGTAGCTCTTTTATTCTCTGGATATTTCCTTTCTTCATTTTATTTTCCCACAAGAACATGTTATTGTTTCCTGATTGCAGTATTTATTGTCTTTTTGAAAATGTTAAAGATAGTTTTCTTTGAAGTTTTCTTTTCCCCTGAATAGTTTATTTCCTTCAAGTATACTTTTTTTTCTGTTTAATTTAGTCTCTAATGTCATGTTAGAGTGTTTGCTCAGAAGTCTCATTATCTGTTCCTAATAAAAAATGGGTGATTTAGAAAGCCAGTAGAGGCTTGCACGTAGGTGAGGCTTGTGAACTTTGGGCTTTACTGAGGGGTGATTTATGTGGGCTGTTTATTAGGGAATCCCTCAATGTTTCTGTATTTTCGAACTCCTGACCTCAAGTGATCTGACCGCCTCGGCCTCCCAAAGTGCTAGGATTACAGGCATGAGTCACCGCGCCTGGCCTGTTTCTGTATTTTTGTCTTTCCTCATAGCCTGGTCAGACATCCCAGAGAGTACACTCCTGTCTTCTGCCTAGGACTGTGCTGTTCAATACTGTGGCCACTACCCACATGTAGCTATTTAAATTGAAATATAATTAAGTTAAAAATTCATTTCTTCAATGGCACTAGCCACATTTCAGATGCTCAATAGCTACATGTAGCTAATGGCTGCAGTTTTGGACAGCATAACTAGGGAACATTTCCATCATTGCAGAATATTCTATAGGACAACTGGCATAGGACCAAAGATCTTGTTGCCAGCCATCTGAGAGCTCATCCAGGGAAGATGGTCTGAGGTTTTAGCATTCAGGATTCAGCATGTATATGGTCACTTAATCCCACTGTTCTTAGAGTGGTGACCATGCCCTAAACTGTGCATTTCCTAATTGGGAAACTCTGTTTTACCTTCTCTAGAGAATAGACATGCAAGTTTATGCTGCGGTAGGAGAGGGACAGTTACCCAGAGGTGCAGAGAGAGAAGGGAATCTAGGAATCCACCTGCCCCTCACTCATTACCTAATCCTCTTTATTTTGGCAAACTGCCATTCATCTCCATTTGCATCCAGCAGTACCTGATGCTTCCGCCTCCTAGGCCTTAGGAGGATTCTGTGGGTTTGTTTTCAACTTTTTCCTCTGCTGGCTTACACTTTGTCTTTGCAGGTCAGCCAGGATAGTCAACATTTGGCTTTCTGCTTTCCAGCTTTTAAAATGTTGTTCTTTTTTTGGTTATTCTTTGTAGGTGTGGGATTTTTAGTGTGTTTTTTGAGAGAGCACAATTAGATATTTCATCTTAATATGAAACTCTTCAGACCTTTTTAGTTTTGTTTTTAGTTTTTTGGAATTCTTATTTTATTTCATGACACATTTGTTTTTATCAAAATTAATAAATTTATGTAAGCAAAAATAGAAAAAATTAACCACTGTATAATGTATATATAAAAGGTTATCATATTCTAGATAATGCTTTGTAACTCCTCATTTTCCTTATGTTGATATTGTTCTGCTGGATGTCTTCTCTTTGCCCTCTGGACACGCTCTCCATTCTTTTCTTTTGTCTGCCTCAAGAGACCCAGGGGGCACACTTTTCTCTTATTTCCAGTTGGGTGAGGTCAAGGGGAAGGAAGCCCTCGAAGGAGATAAAAGGGTGGATGGAGATTAAGGAGAGGATATTTATCTCCAGATAGCCTCTTTGTGGCATAATCTTGAGTTTACTATGCCCCTCTGTTGAAATCAGACCTATTAATACACCTAGAAATACATGTACTCACATACACAAATATACATAGATGTACACATTTTTAAAAAATTTGGCTTAAGGCAAAAATGGGATCATGCCATCTATTATATTTTGCAATCGGTTTTATTTACTGAATGTCAAGGATACCCAGTCATATCAGATGATGTGAGTTTCCTTATTCTCTTGAATGCCTGCTTAGTATTTCATAATAAATGTTAAAATAAATGTTCCCCCTTCTCTTATTGGTAGGCTTTATTATTGCCCACTGTTTATTATTACAAATTATACTTACATGAACAATGTTGTATCCATTTCTCTGTGTACTCCTATAAATATTTCTGCGTGATAGAGTTCTTGAAATATAATTATTAATTAAAAATGCACATTTCTGTCTTGACAAGTACTGCCTTATTACTAACTTAAAGGGTGGTACTTAATTTACAGTCTTAGTAGCAGGATAGAAAAATACATTTGTATCTATAGCCCTGCTAATGTTAAATATTGTGAATATTTTCAGTTTTTCTAATGAGATAGAAGGAAAATGGTACTTTAATTTATATTTTACTGATTACTAATGAACATATTTCACAAAAGATGTGTTAGGGTTTTTCACTGGAAAATTTGTTGAATCTAAACTGAGTTTAGATTAATTATTAATGTGTAGTTATATATAAATATACTGTTTGCTACATTTAACTATATGTATTTAAATATATAAATATCAATAAATATATGTATATATAAGTCAGCACAAGTTAATTTTCATTTTCCTGCATTTTTGGAAAAAATGGGGAATTTCTAGGGTTCCCTAGTTACTAGAGTAAAAAATGCAAGAAGTGCAACTTTAGTATAATGTAGTTGAGTGGTTTTGTGTGTACTTTATTGACCCCTAGTCTCATGAATGAATGAGTTTGCATTTGCTTAAACAATATGCTTAATTCATTATATGCTTTTATTATTCATTATTTACTTTTTGGCCTTTAAACTCTCTGCAGTTTTGGATTCTTTTCTCTGTGAAAAGAAAATATCTTGGGCCCCCCAAATCACTAAGCTAAAGGAAGAGGTCAAGCTGGGAACTGCTTAGAGCAAACCTGCTTCCCATTCTATTCGTAGTCACCCCTCTGCTAACTGAGATAAATACATATCTGCTTGCCTTCTGTGGAGGGGCTAATCAGAAACTCAAAAGAATGCAACCATTTGTCTCTTATCTACCTATGACCTGGAAGCCCCCTCCCTGCTTCGAGTTGTCCCGCCTTTCCAGATAGAACCAAATGTTCATCTTACATGTGTTGATTGATGTCTCATGTCTCTCTAAAATGTATAAAACCAAACTGTGGTCTGACCACCTTGGGCACGTGCCTTCAGGACCTCCTGAGGCTGTGTCACGGGTGCCTGTTCTCAACCTTGGTAAAATAAACTTTCTAAATTAACTGAGACCTGTCTCAAATTTTGGGGGCTCACAACTGCATTTTCTGAGAATCTCCTTGGTTATAGGTTCTCTTAGCTCTCTCAATATAAACAGTGTCAGGGACTCGTTAATGGAACTAAATCTTTCATTCCTTTACTTGTAAGTACTACTGATAAATCAGCAACTTGCTTTTGAGGCTTTTGTTTGGATGAGGTGAGAATGTAAAGTGCCTATTTTAGGACATACTTGACATTGTCAAGGGACATAACAAGGTCCTTTTGAACCTTCACATTTACAAATCTATTGTAGCATATCACTTCCCCCAAGAAGTGCTTATGAAGTAAGTAGAACAGAATAAAGGCTTTTTGAGATTAGGATACTAGACAGTTGGCCAGAGTCATTAATTACTACCTAAATGGTTTGTTTTTTGACATCAGCCTTGCAGTGTTCACAATTCAGTTTTGAGTTTCAGCAGATTACTTCCATGTTATGACCTTTGGATTATTCATGAATAGTTGAATCTCTAGATGTTAAATATGTAAATACCAAGAGCCCTCTGTAAAGTTCCTGATAGGTATTCGGTGGTCAAAAGGTAGCCTATATTTAGAATTTCTGTGTTAGTAGAGGCCCCAGAGAGGTTTTCCCCTAACCTCCTAACTTTATAAGTGAGGTGTCCAGGTTAAGTAATGTGGTTGTGATCCTCTGGCTGTTGAGTGTTGGAGCTGCATCACAGACCTCTGTGATACCAGCGTCTGTCAGTCCTGGGATTTTTGCCAACAAGTCCCATGCACTCTCTGTTTGGATCCAGAGCAGGCTCTTAACAAAATCAATCTGTATACTGATTGAGTTCATGTTTATATACATTTCACTTTTGAAACGTTTATATACATTTCACTTTTAACATTTATCCTAAAACATGACTCATATGCCTTAGATATTTTTCCTCCACCCCTAGTGACCTGGCAAATGTGGTTTTCTTGGCCATCCTGGCCTGGGTGTGTGTACTTTCTCCCTCAGGCCTATGTTGTTGTAACCCCCGCTCCCCCACTGCCCCCATTGTATACCTATACCTCAGTAATATGAGTTTAAAAAGTTTTCTGATTAAGCCATGCTGTTTCAAATTTCTGTGACTCTGTAGGTTATTGCCTGGAGTATTCTCTCCCCTCCCACAACCACTTTTCCTCCAAGAGTCTAAAGCCTTCTTTAATCCCTGTTAGCAGAGTTCATCTTGTCTACTTTGATCTACCCTTAACACCTGTTGCATACCTCCTATCCCTCTATTACAGCATGTATCACAGTGAATTGCAATCATTTATTTTCGTACTTAGCTTCCCCATTAGACTCTGAGAGTAACGCTAGTTGCTAACACTTGACTTGTTATGTGAATAAAATAACTAAGGAGATTCTATGAAAATGTTTCCTTCCTGAGCAAGGAACTATAGGTATCCTTAATGGAGTCCATTAATCTTTGTCAGGGAGTGTCCTCCCACACTGTCATATGTTAACTTAAAGAATAACGTACACAGTTATTAGTGAGGTTATTAAGATTGTTGTTAATTCGCTGAAAGGAAAGTGGTCATTTGGAAAAACTTGTTAGGTTACACTTGAAGTAGGCATAGTTTTTCAGGATTATCTACAGTTCACTTCTCTATCTCTGTTATTTGTCAATAAAATGTTATATGCCCTTTTAAAACTGCACTTAGTTTTCAAATGTCTTTTTAAAAACAGTATCAGTATTATACAAAGAATGCACAAAACATGATACTAAATTGCAGTGTTTTTAATTACTTTTCAATCATGGCGTTTTTTATTTTAAAGGGTTTTTAAAGATTAAATATTTAATTTGTCAGTTATTTAACCCAATTTTCTTCCAGCAGAAGCTGGCAACTCCCATTCCTTGCCCTTCCCCAAGTTTTGGTGTGCTATACATTACGTTAGGTATTGAGGGATAGTAATGAGAGACAGGACTAGCTGGATTTCCTAGGCCGACTAAGAATTCCTAACCCTAGCTGGGGAAGGTGACTGTATCCACCTTTAAATATGGGGCTTGTAACTCAGCTCACACCTGACCAATCAGGTAACAGAGAGCTCACTAAAATACCCGTTAAGCTAAAAGCAGGAGGTAAAGAAATAGTCATCTATCGCCTGAGAGCACAGGGGGAGGGACAACTATCAGGATATAAACCTAGGTATTCGAACTGGCAGTGGCAACCCCCTTTGGATCCCCTCCCATTGTATGGGAGCTTTGTTTTCACTCTATTAAATCTTGCAACTGCACACTCTTCTGGTCCATGTTTGTTAGGGCTCAAGCTGAGCTTTCACTCGCCGTCCACCACTGCTGAACGTCGCCGTCGCAGACCCGCCATTGACTTTCACCGCTCTGGATCCGGCAAGGTGTCTGCTGCGCTTCTGATGCAGCAAGGCGCCCATTGCCGCTCCTGATCAGGCTAGAGGCTTGCCATTGTTTCTGCGCGGCTAAGTGCATGCATTCATCCTAGTAGAGCTGAACACTAGTCGCTGGGTTCCACGGTTCTGTTCTGTGACCCACGGCTTCTAACAGAGCTATAACACTCCCCTCGTGGCCCAAGGTTCCATTCCTTGGAATCCTTGAGGCCAAGAACCCCAGGTCAGAGAGCAAAAGGCTTGCTGCTATCTTGGGAGCAGCCTGCCATCATCTTGAGAGCTCTAAGAACAAAGACCCACCAGTAACATCTGGTGGCCTGTACAGGGATTCTCCAAAGCCCTGAGTAATACTGGACCACTTTGACTTGCTATTCTGTCCTATCCTTCCTTAGAATCAGAGGAAAATACTGGGCAGCTGTTGACCATTTAAAAATGATTAGCATGGCTGCTGGACTTAAGACTCAGGTGTGAGGCTTTCTGGGAAAAGGCGAACAGCCCCCATCTGAGTTGGGAGCATTGGTCTGCCTGGAACCAGCTTCCGCTTTTACAATTTTCCTGGGGAAGCTGAGGGCCGACTAGAAGCAGAAAACTGTCATCCTGAATTCCCGGCATTGGCCAGTCGAGATCATGGTGCAGCCAGAAGTCTCTACTCCACAGTCGCCCATGCAGGCACCCCTACCTCTCCTTTTGACCCATACCTCCTGGGTCCCAACCACCACTTTCTTGAAAGTGTAGCCCCAAAATTCTCCTTACCTCTGAATCTACTTCCTCCAGTCCCTGCCTCCTAGGTACTAATGCTTCAGACTTTCACTCCCTCTCCCAGGTATTAGAGCAAGTTGTATCTCCAAAGGGATCTAGAGAAGCTCTACACTGCATCCTTAGGCACCTAGGCTATGAACCCAGGGAGTCTTGCCCCTGGTGTCTCTCCCAATTTAGGTATACAGCCCTCGACGTGGGTAGTTAGGTGGGACCCGTTCCTCACCACCCTTGCCAGGGCCCCAAATTTGTAAATGGCTAGGAGGATTGCTCTCCCATTGTGTAAGATGCTCTCCTCCCCCAATTTCTACCCAGCTTACCCCCACCTGCAATGCAATCTCCAAGCCTCAGCTCCTTGGCCAGGGCCTTAGAACTGGTAACCCAGTACTTTAACAACTGGAACTGGGTCTACAACAACATAATAGATCAGGATGAAAGCAAATTGAATAAATTAAAGGGAGGAGCATATTCCTATAGTGGCAAATGGGGGCAACGAGCAAATGTCCTTCTGCTGTGTTCCCAAAATCCATCTACCAAAGGGAAGGGAGAAAGAGAGGGGAAAAAGAGAGAAAGAGGTAGAGAAACAAAGGGAGTCAGAGAGAGACAGAAAGTCAGAGAGAGAAAGAAAGAGAAGTAGTAAAGAAAAAAGTGTACCCTATTCCTTTAAAAGCCAGGGTAAATTTAAAACCTATAATTGATAATTGAAGATCCTCTCCGTGACCCTGTAACACTCCAATACCACCTTGTTATCAGTGTAAACAAGGGTGTAGCCAAAAGCGCTGAGGCCACTGACAACCCGTAGCCTTCCTATCAAAAATCCTTAACCCAATAACCCACAGATGGCTCAAATGCATTCAATCTGTAGCAGCAACTGCTTTGCTAGCAGAAGAAAGTAGAAGAATAACTTTAGAGGAAACCTCATTATGAGCATACCTCACCAGTTCAGAAATACCCTAAGTAAAAAAGGCAAAAAGGTAGCTTACTGACTCAAAAATCTTAAAGTATCGGGCTGTTCTTTAGAAAAAGATGATTTAACATTAACCACTGAAAATTCCCTTAACCCAGCAGATTTCCTAACGGGATTTAAATCTTATTACTATACAAAGTTCTAACCAGACCTAGGAGGAACTTCCTTGAGGACAGGACAATAAATAGTTCCTCCCGGGTGATTGAGGGAAAAAAACACAATGGGTATTCAGTAATTGATAGGAAAACTCTTGTAGAAGCAGAGTTAGAAAAATTGTCTAATAATTGGTCTGCTCAAACGTGCGAGCTGTTTGCACTCAGCCAAGCCTTAAAGTACTTACAGAACCAGGAAGGAACCATCTATACCAATTCTAAGTTAATTTAGACTAAACAAAGTCTTAGTAATAGCAAAGGACCTAAAAGCCCAAGGCCATGCAATAGCCCCTGCAGTACTCCAATTTTAGGAGTGCAGAAGCCCAACGGACAGTGGAGGTTAGTGCAAGATCTCAGGATTATCAATGAGGCCGTTGTCCCTCTATACCCAGCTGTACCTAACCCTTATACTCTACTTTCCCAAATACCAGAGGAAGCAGAATGGTTTACAGTCCTGGACCTTAAGGATGCCTTTTTCTGTATCCCTGTACATCCTGACTCTCAATTCTTGTTTGCCTTTGATGATCCTTCGAACCAACATCTCAACTCACCTGGACTGTTTTACCCCAAGGGTTCAGGGCTAGCCCCCATCTATTTGGCCAGGCATTAGCCCAAGACTTGAGTCAGTTCTCATACTTGGACACTCTTGTCCTTTGGTATGTGGATGATTTAGTTTTAGCCACCTGTTCAGAAACCTTGTGCCATTAAGCCACCCAAACACTCTTAAAGTTCCTCGCCACCTGTGGCTACAAGGTTTCCAAACCAAAGGCTTACCTCTACTCACAGCAGGTTAAATACTTAGGGCTAAAATTATCCAAAGGCACCTGGGCCCTCACTGAGGAACACATCCAGCTTATACTGGCTTATGCTCATCCCAAAACCCTACTAACTGTTGGATGTGCCTCACCCTGCACTTCAGGCCATACATTTCAATCCCTGTATCTTTAACCTCCTTGTTAAGTTTGTCTCTTCCAGAATTGATGCTGTAAAACTACAAATCGTTCTTTAAATGGAGCCCCAGATGCAGTCCATGACTAAGATCTACCGTGGACCCCTGGACCGGCCTGCTAGCCCATGCTCTGATGTTGATGACATCAAAGGCTCCCCTACCGAGGAAATCTCAACTGCACAACCCCTACTATGCCCCAGTTCAGCAGGAAGCAGTTAGAGTGGTCGTCAGCCAACCTCCCCAACAGCACTTGGGTTTTCCTGTTGAGAGGGGGGACTGAGAGACAGGACTAGCTGGATTTCCTAGGCCGACTAAGAATTCCTAAGCCTAGCTGGGGAAGGTGACCTCACCCACCTTTAAACATGGGGCTTGTAACTCAGCTCACACCTGACCAGTCAGGTAGTAAAGAGAGCTCACTAAAATGCCCATTAGGCTAAAAGCAGGAGGTAAAGAAATAGTCAATCATCTATCACCTGAGAGCACCCGGGGAGGGACAGTGATCAGGATATAAACCCAGGCATTCGAACCAGCAGTGGCAAGCACCTTTGGGTCCCCTCCCGTTGTATGGGAGCTTTGGTTTCACTCTGTTAAATCTTGGAACCACACACTCTTCTGGTCCACGTTTGTTACTGTTCGAGCTGAGCTTTTGCTCACCATCCACCACTGCTGAATGCCACCTTCTCAGACTGGCCATTGACTTTCACCCCTCTGGATCTGGCACCGTGTCCGCTGCGCTTCTGATCCGGGGAGGTGCCCATTGCCGCTCCCGATCAGGTAGAGGCTCGCCATTGTTTCTGTGCGGCTAAGTGCGCGGGTTTGTCCTACTCGAGCTGAACACTTGTCTCTGGGTTCCACAGTTCTCTTCCGGGACCCACAGCTTCTAATGGAGTTGTAACACTCACCGCATGGCCCAAGGTTCCATTCCTTGGAATCCGTGAGGCCAAGAACCCCCCAGGTCAGAGAGCAAAAGGCTTGCTGCCATCTTGGGAGCGGCCCACCACCATCTTGGGAGTTCTAAGAACAAACACCTGCCAGTAACAGTAAGATAAGAAAGACATAAGGCTATCTCACTAAGTTTGTATAAATTCTAAAATTCAGAATAAGTTTTGTATGAGGTATTAAAAATTTAGTTTATAATTGTAACATCTTTATTTTATAGGCTATTTAAAAATAGGTGTATATTTAACTACAGATGTAATACATGGCTTGAAAAGGAAGCGTAGTGTAACATTTCAGACTGAGTGTGGACTCTGACACCAAGTTACCTGGCTTAAAGTTCCAGTTTTGTTATTTACTAGCTGTGTAGCCTTAAGTAAGTTCCTTAACCCCTTGCTGCCTCAGTATCGTTATATGTAAAATTAAGGTAATGAAAATACCTACATTATGAGATTGCTGTGACTGGTGAACAGGTCGGCATGTAAAATATATGAAACAGTGCCTGAAATATTTTAAAAGCTATATACATTTTAGGTGTTACTATAGTTGAAATAATCCAGAAAATTAGAATTCCCCGTATTATAAGAGAATAGTAAATATTGTCAGATTTTTATATACATAGCATAATTTTTTAAAAATTTATTTAAAAATCTACAAACAGTAAAGTTCACTTTTTTAAAAAATATACTTTCTATGGATTTTCACAAATGTGTATAGTCTTGTGACTGTCAGAGATGTGTGAACTGGAACAAATCCATCTTAAATAGGAGCTGGGTAAAATGAGGCTGAAACCTACTGGGCTACATTTTCAGACAGTTAAGGCATTCTGAGTCACAGGATGAGATAGGAGGTCACCACAAAATTCGGGTCATAAAGACCTTGCTGATAAAACAGGTTGCAGTTAAGGAGCTGGCCAAAACCCACCAAAACCAAGATGGCGACAAGAGTGACCTTTGGTGGTCCTCACTGCTACACTTCCACCAGCACCATGACAGTTTACAAATGCCAGGGCAATGTCAAGAAGTTACCCTATAAGGTCTAAAAAGGGAATGCATGAATAATCCATCCCTTGTTTAGCATATCATCAAGAAATAACCATAAAAATGGGCAACCAGCAGCCCTCAGGGCTGCTCTGTCTGTGGAGTAGCCATTCTTTTATTCCTTTACTTTCTTAATAAACTTGGTTTCAGGTTGCACCGTGGACTCACCCTGAATTCTTTCTTGGGCGAGATCCAAGAACTCTCTTTTGGGGTCTGGATCAGGACAGCTTTGCTGTAATGTGACCTAACTAGGAAATAGAACAGTTTCCTCAACCCCCTAAACTACTTCTTCTTTTTTTTTTTTTTTTTTTTTTTTTTTTTTTTTTGAGAGGGAGTCTCACTCTGTCACCAGGCTGGAGTGCAGTGGCACCATCTTGGCTCACTGCAACCTCTGACTCCAGGTTCAAGCGATTCTTCTACCTCACCCTCCCTAGTAACTGGGATTACAGGCACGCGCCACCATGCCCAGCTAATTTTTGTATTTTTAGTAGAGATGGGGTTTCCTCATGTTGGCCAGGATGGTCTCGATCTCCTGACCTCGTGATCTGCTCCCCTTGGCCTCCCAAAATGCTGGGATTACAGGCATGAGCCACCGCTGGACCAACCCCCTAAACTTATATTGTGTTGTTTCTTTGTAGTCAAACCATCTCCCTACTTGTAATCTTTGCCAACCGCTGATCTGTTTCCTTATCCTTTGGGTTTGCCTTGTCTGGAATGTCATATAAATGAAATAATCCAGTAAAAGATTTTAAAATCATATCTTTTGAGTCTGGCCTCTTTCATTCAGCATAATACATTTGAGATTAACTCAACATGTTGCATGGATCAGTAGTTTGTCGTTATTCTGAGTAGTATGCCATTGTGTGGATGTACTACGGTTTTGTTTATCCATTCTCCCTGACTGACATTTGGCTGGTTTCCAGTTTTTGGTAATTATGAATAATGCTGCTGTGAATAATTACGTATAGGTTTTTGTGTGAATATACATTTTCATTTGTCTTGGATATTCAGTAGAATTTCTGGGTTTTATTGTAAGTGTATATTTAGGATTTTAAGAAACTACCAAACTTTTCCAAAGTGGCCATCCCATTTTGCATTCCCACCAGCAATGTTTGCAAGTTCTGGTTGCTGCATATCCTTGTCAGCTCCTGGTATTGTCAGTGGTTTTATTGTTTTAAAATTTTTTTTTTTAGCTATTCCAAATAAGTGTATAGCTAGCATAATTTGGAACCAAGTTTGTCCATCAAACTCTTGAGACTTGGAAGAAGATAAAGAATAGGGCTGGATTAAATGCAGAGTCACATAGGAGCTCATAAGGAAGAGATGGAGAGACCATCAGATTTGTGAGAGCTTTGCAATTTCTGTCATATTCACTGTTGTAATCCCCAGATGACTAACATAGTGCCTGGCACACGGTAATTGGGATATCTTTGTATGTTTATTGAATCATTGAAAATCAACAAATGATTGAAAGGGAAGGAATAGAAGTAGGATAGAAGTAATTTTAGATTAGATTTGGTCTGAGTAATCCCAGTATATTCATGTGACACACACCTTTCTACCTGCTTAAGTCTGAGTTTAGAGACATATTTCAGGGCTAATTTCTGGCCCCTTCGCAGGAGAAAGAGAGCATGATATAGCAGAAGAAGCAGTAAGCAGAAAAGATTTGATGCTACTAATTTGTTGTGTGGATTTAGGAAAGTCTTCTTAACTCTCCTGAGCCTCAGCTTCATCACTGCATAATGAAAATATTTTATTATATGATAGCTAATTTATTTTTTTTCTGTTAATCACATCAAATCAGAAATTGGTGAGGAAGAAGCATGCCAGAGCCTTGATAAGGGAAGCATTATATATGGATACAACGTGAAGTGTAGCTCTGCAGGGAGTTGAGGGGTGAGTGTTAAACAGAGCTAGCTAATCACTAATTGGCAGAAAAAAAAACAGTAGATAGAAAACGGTAGTTACAGGGTTTCAAACAGAGCAGCAGCGTTGCAGGACTGGGGGGCGGGGTGGGTGTATAAAAGGAAGTAGGCATTAACAATACCAAATTAAGATGTTCGTAGGTTTTTTTTTTTTTTCTGGGGAGAAGCTAGCTATAGTGTCATCAACGCAAAGAGGAGGACCTGAGCCTCAGAGAAAACAAAGTTGAGGATAGGTGGTAACACAGACCACTCTAGGCCCCATGTGTGAGCTCTGGGAATTGTTCAGCATGCTGCTTTCCAGTGGCCTTTTTCTCTACCATTATTACTCCGTTACCCCACTTCTTTAAAGTTTAGGTCTAGAGTTTAGCAAAAAGCCAGCTCTTAGTTGATATTTATTCAGTTTGTACTTTGAAGGATTTTGTACACGTACTGTCAAGTATCAGTAGAAATTTAAAAATAGTCGGCTGGGCACAGTGGCTTACGCCTGTAATCCCAGCATTTTGGGAGGCTGAGGCGAGCAGATCATGAGGTCAAGAGAACCAGACCACCCTGGCCAACATGGTGAAACCGTGTCTTTACTAAAAATACAAAAATCAGATGAGTGTGGTGGCGCGTGTCTGTAATCCTGGCTACTCCGGAGGCTGAGGCAGGAGAATCGCTTGAACCCGGGAGGCAGAGCTTGCAGTGAGCCCAGATCGCACCACTGTACTTCAGCCTAGCGACAGAGTGAGACGCAATCTCAAAACAAACAAACAAACAAAAACTTAGTAGTCAGTCTTGATTGTGTGTTTTAAGGGATTTGACCTGTTTTGTTGTTTGTCTGTCTGACATTTTTCAAAAGCACCATGACGTTTGAAAATGTATTCTGTTTCCTGTTGTGATTCTTTTAAAATATTCAGAGGTCTTGATCTCTCAGATACCTTTTTGCTATATAGATTATAAGGCTGTTTTTTTTTCATCGTTTTAATGTTTCTAAAAATTTTATTCTGAGGCAAAACACAGTTTTTCTCTAACATAGTTTAGGTTGTAAAATCAAATGTTTATTCATTTTAGACTGTGTGTTTCCAACAAGCATTTATTTTAAAACATCTGTATGATGTTCTGGCTATGAGGACCCCCTACAGTAATCCTTTGGAAATAGCCAGTGAAGAGTCTAAGTTCTACTTAATCCTTCAACTCATAAAGAGTCAATTAAAGACCAAGTACCCAAGATGTTATTTTCAGATTCTAATATAAAGAATTAATATTTCTGGATTTTAAAAAATTTCAATGTACTCTGCTAACTTGTCATTGTTTTTAGGTGTATAGTAGTCCCCTCCTTAACCACAGTTTTGCTTTCCATGGTTTGAGTTACCCACAGTCAACTGTGGTTTGAATGTTATATGGAAAATTCCAGAAATAAACAACTGATGGGTTTTAAATTTGTGTGCCATTCTGAGTAGCAGGATGAAATCTGATGCCATGCCTCTCTCGTCGCATCCAGGACGTGAATTATCCCTTTGTCCAGTGCATTGATACAATATATGCTATGCTACCTGCCTCTTAGTCCCTTAATAGCAGTTTCGGTGATCAGATTGACTGTCGAGGTATAGCAGTGCTTGTGTTCAAGGAACCTTTATTTTACTTAATACTTTATTAATAATAGTTATTAATCTCTCACCACGCCTAATTTGTAAGTTAAACTTTATCATGGTATGTATGTAATGTATATGTAGGGTTTAGTACTATCTGTGATTCAGGCATCTACTGGGGGTCTTGGAATGGATCCAAAGTGGGGACCGTTGTACTCAACTTAGGAAACTCATCTGTAGTTTTTAGTCAATTGCTTCTACTTCTGGGTAGGAAAAAACTCTGGAATATTTTATGAGTTTGTGTTAGATAACACCTTAGAAAAGAAAATATATGGTTTTATGTTAAAAAAAAAAGGCTTCTTAAACTAGATAACTCTTTTTGGAGGTCAGATATTTGCTCTGTTGAGAGTATCAGTTTCTTTTTTTTTGAAACTGTCTCATTCTGTCGTCCCAGCTGGAGTGCAGTGGTGCGATCTTGGCTCACTGTAACATCTACCTCAGCCTCCCACGTAGCTGGGATTACAGGCACACTACCGCAGCTGGCTAAGTTTTGTATTTTTAGTAGAGATGGGGTTTCACCATGTTGGCCAGGCTGGTCTCGAACTCCTGGCCTCAAGTGATCCACCTGCTTCAGCCTCCTAAAGTGCTGGGATTGCAGCGTGAGTCGCCGCACCCGACCAGAGAATATCAATTTCTAATGTACTGGCAACTTGTTAGACCAGTAGAGCATGTAGGAGGGTCACCTCTTTGAAATTCAGACTCTTATATTGTTTCTTAGAGCCTTTCTGTAGCCCTAAAATTAGTGATCATTCTATGCTCCATCATCCTGAAATTGAATTCGAGCCGTTAAATGTATAGTAACAAAATATATCCTTTTTTATATCTTTCAGAATCATGGTGTCATGGAAAGGGATTTACTTTATACTGACTCTGTTTTGGGGAAGCTTTTTTGGAAGCATTTTCATGCTGAGTCCCTTTTTACCTTTGATGTTTGTAAACCCATCTTGGTATCGCTGGATCAACAACCGCCTTGTGGCAACATGGCTCACCCTACCTGTGGTAAGTTACACACCAGAGGAGACTGTCTGCTTGTACTAGAGTGCTCCCCACCCCTGATAGATACCTAAATCCATGGATGTTCAAGTCCCTACAGTATTTGCACATATCCTAGGCACATCCTTCTGTATGCTTTAAATAATCTCTAGATTGCTTATAATACCGACTACAACGTAAATGCTATGTAAATAGTTGTTATTGTTAGGGAATTGTATTGCTTAGGGAATGACAGGGAAAAAAAATCTGTGCATCCTCAGTACAGGCTTAGCCATCCTTTTTTCCCATGAATATATTTGATCCATGATTGGTTGAATTCACAAATGCTGAACGCAGGGATGTGGAGGGCTGCATGTATTTTGCTGTGTTCCATTGGGCTTCTTAGATAGATAGGTTGGTTGGTTTTTATATTTTTTTAACTGGGAAATTTTAGACTGTTATTTTTTTCACATTTTTTTCTGCCTTATTCTCTCTCTCCTCATTTTGGGACTACAATTATATGTATGTTAGATTGATTGTCTTGTCACGTATGTCACAAAGGCTCTCTTCCTTTTTTCTTCCCCTGTATTTTTTCCCTGTATTTTTCATATTGAATGATTTCTGTTTATCTGTTTTCAAGCTCAATGACCCTTTCTTCTATCATCTTTAATCTGCTGTTTTGTTCATCTAGTGAATTTTTATTTAAAATACTGTAAGTTCTGGAATTTATTTTGGGTTCTTTATTGGTTCTGTTACTTTCTTGAGATTTCTCATCTATTTATTAATTATAGCCATATTTTCCTTTAAGTCAGCTGGATGATGTCTAGTACCTTTTACTCTGTCAGGGCCAGTCTTTTAGGCAAAATTTCTTCTTGCTTTTTTAATATAAGTATGCTTTGTTTTGTGATTGGATTGCAAGAGTAGTTGGCAGGATCTCTTAATGTTCATCCAGCAATTTTTTATTGTCTACCACGTACCTAGCATTTTGCTAGGATGCAGTGATGAACAGGACAGATATGATCTCTGTCCTTGAGGAGATAATAGTCCTCTACCTAAAATATCTTATCCTAATTGTAGATTTACAGAGCTTGACTAATTTCTTTTCTGGCTTTCATGTGACTAAAAGTCTTTTTCTTTTTTTAGAGGACAGAAGTTGACTTCTAAGACTATTAATTTTTAGAGTTACATTTTTAAATTAGCTTTAAAGATATGAAGCCCAGTGTTTCATTGCAACCCTAAACATACCATTTGCCATAAAATACTCATTTTTTGTTGCTGCTTAACCACTATCACTCTCTATTTACAAGGTGGGTATTTCTCTATATACATATATTAAGTAAAATAAGAATACTGTTCAGTTTATGTAATATTAATCATCACAAGTAGATACTTCTAAAACGTCATCTACAAACTGTATGTTAAGTAATTTTGCTGTCATCATAAAATCAGAGACATTTCCTATTGAAACATTTGACTGTTTTCATGTCATTTATGTAACTATTTTTAGTGTTTGTTTCATCATCTGTAAAATAAAGAAATTGGAGTAAATGATCTTTGAGATCTATTCTGGATTCAGAATTGTATATCTGATTGTAAAGCAAACATTCAGAGGTAAAAGATTTTTTGTAACAGTCATGTATTGTTACTGTACTCCATTTTCTAAATGTCATCAGTTTTCTATAGTATATAATCCTTTAATTATGAACCACACATTTTTGTTGAATCTTTCTGCCAAAACCTTGAGAGTTCTGAGAATTGGTAAAAATTACTACAGTTGTAATGCTTTACAGTGTCCAGTCACTCTAATTTTTGGAGAGCGAGCATAAGCAGAGTGCTTATTTTCACAGACATTGCAGACAGATATTTGGTTTCACTATTGGCCTTCCCACTTTCTAGTCATTTGAACTTGGCTAAGCTCCTTAGCCTCATTGTAAGCTTTTGTTTCTTCATCTCTATAAAAAGGAGTCTTAATACTACCTACTTACATCAGAGAGTCATTGTAATGACTAAATGAGGTAATAAATATATAGCCTTTTTAGTATAATGCTTGCCATTTGGTAAGTACCCGGTAAATATTTGGTATTATATTAATTTTAGTTTTAGTTTTAGTTTTGCTTTTATATTAATTTTAGGCTAAACTGGTGTTTTGGAGAAAATTCAAAATATAGTG
This sequence comes from Homo sapiens, assembly GCF_000001405.40. Classification (NCBI taxonomy): domain Eukaryota; kingdom Metazoa; phylum Chordata; class Mammalia; order Primates; family Hominidae; genus Homo; species Homo sapiens. The sequence continues at coordinate 30,527,899 of NC_000002.12, forward strand.
GCTCCAATACAGTAGAACTATATTGACTTACAGGTCCAGGCTGGCAAGGTCCCTACGGTCCCTGATGTCATCAAAGGGTTCAGATGTCTTCTATCCTGTTAATCCACCTAGCTTGGCCTCCAGCCTGGTATAATGTCCTCTTGTATTTGGTCAAGACTGGGTCACTGCCACTTCTTTGCCCCACTCTGGAGGAAGTCCAGAGCAAATGCTTTCTTTCTATACCAGTGACTCACGTGTGTAGTACATAGCAAGTTGCACATATCACTTTTGCTTACTCTATTGGTAAGAGCAGCTAAAAGCTGTAATAGAATCTGGGAAATGTCTTTTTTTTCTGGGCAGCCATGTGCACAGTTAAAATTCTTAATCTGGAAGAAATGCTGGTATTTATAGGACAAGTTACCAAACAAATTCTGCAATAGCTATTTCTGCTATTATTACTGCTAGTAGCATTACTATTACTGCAGAATTACATTATACACCTACAGTATTTGTACAGTTTCAATTACATGCACTAAGGTAAGGGAAGAGTGGGCAGAGAAGAGAATGAATTTTTTTCTGCTTCATGTGAGATGAAATAGGAAATATGAGTGGTTCTCTGCTGAGTGTGATTCTTGTGTTTAAAGATAGATATTTTTAAACAATATACAAACCAATCACTTTGTCTGATGGTCAGGTAGGGTAATATCAATATAGTACAATTTTGGGAGAAGATTGGCTGAGCTGGACTTACTGATAGTGTGATCTTTTGAGATGCACCATCCTATGAGATTTTCAAAGATAATTTCACCTATTCCTAACTTTTGTCTTATTAGCTGTTTGGACAGTTTAACACATGGGTAAGATTTAACTACCACAGTACTAGTAAAAAATTAGTATACATTTGGAAAACTGCTGTCACTCAGCTGTTTAGTTTACTAGTTACAGCATATCAGACAGAGAAAGTTTTTTTAGTTAAGAAATGTATAGATGTTGAATTCCTTATAGCTAGGTTACAGAAAAATTGATATTCTAGTTTTGAGATAGTGAACATCTCTGTTGAAGGAAACAGAGAAGAACCATCAAGGGTGTCTTTTATCACCTTTTATCTCATACTCGTACAAGGAGCTAAAGGAGTTTTTAAGCAATAATAAAATATATTCTTTTTAAATTCAGAGTGAATTTAATCTAAAAGCTTTTCTTCTATCCCTTATTGATGTACTTTATTTTAAGCAATCCCAAACAGTTAAAAATAATTTTCCACTAAAAATAAATTAGGATAAATGCACTTAAACTAATTATTGCTTCACAAAAATAGTCACAAAATGATCTTCTCTTTCATTAAGTTTCTCTTGTGGATTAAAATGATTTTGTTGGCAAGATTTTTCTTGTCTTACTATTTTTAAGGAGCACATTTCTGTGCTAAAAGAGGCATAGCAGTGAAATGTTTTAGAATCTTAGATGAGACTTAGAGGTCACTTTGTCTAACCTAACTCTGTGGGCAAGAATCCGTTCTAGAACTATCTGCAGGGTGACCATTCAGTCTTTCTTTGAATGTTTCTATAATTCGGAGTGCATGCCTTTGTTCCTTTTATTTTTGGACCATTCTGTTCAACATAATGAATATTGTAAGGGTCAAACTCAGCATGTGCTCAGAGCAGTTTTTGCTTCTCAAAATTCTAACTAACCGACAGTCTGATTACTACCTGGGATTATGAAAATTACTGGAGTTCTGTCCTTTCACCATAAATCATGCCTTAGGAATTTAGAGGTCATTTTCTAACTGTCTACCCAGGGCACAAGTTTCTTCCACAGCCTTCTGATACCATTCCAGTCCTAGCACAAAACAGGTGTTGAATAAACATAGATTGCTGAATGTGATTTTTGTCTACACTGTTGCTCTTAACAAAGTGGGTGCTCAGTGTTTTGAAGAATGAGTTGGGATTGCAAAGCCTCAAGTAGCTAGGGATTTGGAGAACCAGACCTAATCTGAGCCTGAAAAGCAAAAGCAGACATGGAGATGAGTTGTTATTACCTCAGACTAAGTAAAGATCCATCAGAATGATAAATGAGAGTGAGAGCAGCGGGCATGATGGTAAAACTTTCTCTGTGATCTTGAGAGGAACCACTCTCATCTTTGTGTTTTTATACACAATGGAACACTTGGACATAGTAAGTAGTGGTATATAAAAGATCCTTGGAAAATGCTTCCATATTTCTGTTAAATAATACACAGAGAAATCTTTGACCAATTAGGTAAAAATTATCAGAATTGTTACTCTTCAATATAAGAAACAATGCATTATAAAATTTTGTTAGATTTATTACTGTTGACACTATTATCTCCTATACTAGCAATAAAATAAACATGAGAAATGTGAGAATAGTGTCTTTTTTCCCAGTCTTTTAGTCTGGATTAATTGAATTCTGGAGTTCTGTATAGATATTACAGCTTTATTTCTGTGTAGTATATTTGTTTTTCTGCCTTTGCAGGAGCTGTAAATAAGGTTGACTGGATATGTCTCATCTGGTATTACAACCAATTAATGTGGACTTGAGATCTTGGCTGCCCAAAGGTTATTTATAACTTTCAGGCATATTCTGGTAGAATGCTGGATGTCAAGGGAGAGGATGTCATGTTATATGAGATGTTCCTGGACACATGGTCTTGATTGTTGTTGTTGTTGCTTTTTTGGAGACTACATTCTCTTGCCCAGCTGGAGTGTAGTGGTGCAGTCAGATCTCACTGTAACCTGAAATTCCTGGACTCGAGTAATCCTTCTGCCTCAGCCTCCTGCGTAGCTAAGGCTCTGGGCATGTTCCACAATGCCTGGCCTTTAAAAATTTTTTGTAGAGCTGGAGTCTTGCTATGTTGCCTAGGCTAGTTTCAAACTCCTGGCTTCAAGCGATCTTCCTGCCTTAGCCTCCCAAAGTGCTGGGATTACATATGTGAGCCACCACACCCATCCCAGTCTTGGATTTTTTATGTTATTTTTCATAATGAAAAGCAAAGGATTGTTTGGGATCTATAGGTATCATATATTAGAGATTGCATATATAGGTTTAGATTTGAGGTTTGGAATTTATAGGCTTAAGATTTTTAACTCTTGGCCGGGCACGGTGGCTCATGCCTGTAATCCCAGCACTTTTGGAGGCCAAGGCGGGCGAGTCGCAAGTTCAGGAGTTCAAGACCAGCCTGGCCAACGTGGTGAAATCCTGTCTCTACTGAAAATACAAAATATTAGCTGGGTGTGGTGGCGGGCACCTGTAATTCCAGCTACTCGGGAGGCTGAGGCAGGAGAATCACTTGAACCCGGGAGGCAGAGGTTGCAGTGAGCCGAGATCGCGCCACTACACTCCAGCCTGGGCGACAGAGTGAGACTCCGTCTCAAAAGAAAAAAAAGAAAAAGGGACATTTTTTGCTGTGGATCCACACCTGTAGGACTCTGCCATGATCCTTTTTACCAGGAGGTCTTCCATGTAGGTATTTCACTTTCAAGGGACTTTTTGGAGTAGGGGTTATAATTAGTTGAGCGGTTATGGACCCTTTTGAAAATTTGATGAAAACTGCAAGCATTTTACCTAGCAAAGTATGTGTACACATTGACATATCTTTATATACAGCTTAAGAGAAATACATTTTTATTGACCTCTTGGAGGCCATCGTTCTAGGACATAATAGATAACTGGATTAAATACCCATGCTGAAAGTGAACCTCAGCTGTGGGAAAGTAACTTAATGGACCTATGGGATATCTGTAGCTACTTAGCCCAAATGATTTTGTATCAGGATGTTAACACTTTGACTCTGTAACAATTTGGACATATAACTTTTCTAACTTCTTTTTACTTTCTAGTATATTTCTTTAGCTAATATTATTTTGAACCTATGTTTTATTGATCCTGTTATGTTTTTCAAAGTCTTACTGTTTCATATTGCATTTTTAAAAAAATGCCTTTTTGTTGTGAAGTATAGCAAACATACCGAAAAGTTATTAAAACACAAATGTACAATTTAATGAAAAATTTTGCGTGTAACTGTCAACCAGGTCAAGAAATACAGCATTGTCAGTTCTCCAGCAAGCTACCTAGACTTCCAATGAAAACATCCTCCTTTTGGTAGAAGTATTCATTAATCTGACTTTTAAGATAGTTATTTTCTTCTTGTTCTTTATAATTTTAGCATCTATATAATCATCTTTAAAATATCTTAATCTTTTAGAAAGTCTTATATATTGACATTTATTGTATATATTTTTGTTTGTTTTGCTGTCTTTCAAAATTATGCTTCTGTGTATCTTTCATGTTGCTGTAGGTACTTGTAGTTCATCTACTTTCATTGTTGTATCATTTTTCCATTATATGAGTATACCACAGTTTGTCTATTGGCTATACCTTGTTCAAGATTATCATGATATTCGCCAAGAGAACTTTTGATTCTGTATCGTATATTTGCCTTTAGATCAATTTCTCTCTTTATTAATAAGTCAAATATTAACTAGTAAATTTGTTACATGTAAATTGAGAATTCAAAGAAGAGTTTGAAATCAATAATCAGCTTTTATTGTAATCTGTTATTTTACTTTCAAGAACTCATAAGTCTATAATATATTGTTTTTCTAAATACTTCATATGTATTATATACCTGGCCCATCAGAAAAGCAAATTAAGGAAATTCAGCAATTATTTGAACATTACTATTTTCTAGGTACTAAGGCTTGTAGTATTTTAGTAGATGTATAGTTAATTTATTCTTTACATAGTGTCAAAATAAATAAGATCTATGTTTTTGTTTTTAAAACATCATAGTACAGGATGCTATAAAGTGAACAGTTTACCTTTCCGGGATTTTTTTTTTTCCCCTGTACCCAGTGCTAATTCTTTGACTGTTCTTTCTAGAAAAAAAGGTAATAATGTTACATATCTATATCCTTAAAATATTACACAGTAGAATATTGATATTCACCTTTTATACTTTTTGCTTAATAAGATATCTTGATTTCAAGGACAATCAGCATTTTTTAATTAGGACATCACAGAAGCTTAAAATAGAAATAGTGCTTGATATTCTCATTCTTCTAGATAACCTCACCACTCAATTTTTTATTATAGAAGCAAGGATCATGGGAAATACTAACTTTTACATGTTAGAAATCATAAGATTTATTTATAGGGCATGATAAAATTTACCTATGGAAAATCATAACTTTAATTTGCTGTATATCTGTATTGTTTTCTTAGGCATTATTGGAGACCATGTTTGGTGTAAAAGTGATTATAACTGGGGATGCATTTGTTCCTGGAGAAAGAAGTGTCATTATCATGAACCATCGGACAAGAATGGACTGGATGTTCCTGTGGAATTGCCTGATGCGATATAGCTACCTCAGATTGGAGAAAATTTGCCTCAAAGCGAGTCTCAAAGGTGTTCCTGGATTTGGTAGGTTATTCACACATTATTTTAAGTGGTTCATTCATTTTAGATGTAATGCACCCACTGTAAAACTGACTTAAGCATTAAAGCGATTCCATTTTTTTCCTCACTGGGCCAAAAACAATCTCTGGTTCTTTTGTCTTTAGTGGATCTGCTATGGCAGATGACTTTATTTTAATCTGTTTTTAAAAAATATTACTCTGAAAGAGAAAATAAACTGTTCTCAAGGAAATGGATATATAGTATCTGAGGACCACAGCATTGAAGGATATGAATTAATAGTTTAGTAACTTTTTATTGCAGGTAGTACTTGTGATTTCGGCCAGAAACTGGTCTGTGCTGATAAAGTACTTGACATTGACTGATTCATTCATATTCATGTAGTAAGTATTAATTGAATATGTAGGTTCGAAGCATTCATTATGCTAGGTGCTGGTACTTTCTGAACTTCCCCAATCTATAACTTTTTTTAAAAAATGTTTTTATCGCGCTTGTATAATATAATATTAAAGTTCCTGGAAATGTTTATTTTAAATGGCTAGGAATACAACATGTTCATTGTGTGTTGGAGAAGTAGGGATATTTCAACATTGCATGTTAAAAATAAATGGCCTCCTTTCTCAACTTGCTACTTAATGTGAAAAAGGGAGGGGAAAGATTATAAATATATTCAAACCAGTTATTCACATGGGTATATGAAGTACCCACTATATCCTCCTGACAGCCTTGTTAATTACATTTATACTTCTGTGGTTTACCTAGGTAACATTTCTCACTTAAACTATGTACCCTCTTAAACCATTCCTCTATTAGTATACTGACGTGGTTTATGATTTGTGAGGGCAAAGGGCAGGCCCTCACAGGATAGACTAGTAAGGATAGACTAGCAAGGGTGTTTGTAGTTGATTTACTGTGTGTGTGTGTGTGTGTGTGTGTGTGTGTGTGTGTGTGTGTGTGTGTGTGTGTTTGGGAGACGGAGTCTCTCTCTGTCGCTCAGGCTGGAGTGCAGTGGTGCAATCTGGGCTCACTGCAAGCTCCGGCTCACTGCAAGCTCCACCTCGCAGGTTCACGCTGTTCTCCTGGCTTAGCCTCCCAAGTAGCTGGGACCACAGGCGCCAGCCACCACGCCTGGCTAATTTTTTGGTATTTTTAGTAGAGACGGGGTTTCACCGTGTTAGCCAGGATGGTCTTGATCTCCTGACCTCGTAAGCCGCCTGCGTTGGCCTCCCAAAGTGCTGGAACAGGCGTGAGCCACTGCGCCCGGCCAACTGTTTGTGTTTTAATTGCCTTTGTACTTATATCTTTATCTTTCTCTTTGCCACTTTTCCAATATAGTGATCTCAGATTTCTTACATGGCAGCTGGCTTTCCTTAGAGAACACTTTCACTTGAGAACCAGCAAGAAGCTGCAAGGTATTTTATGACCTAGCCTTAGAATTCAAACAGTATCACTCCTATCATATGTTATTGGTGGAAGCAGTTACCATCCTCAAAGATTCTAGAGGAGGGAGCATAGCCCCACAGATTGAAGATGTGTCTAAGATCTCAGTATTTAAAAAACTGCCACATCCCTAAGAGGACTGATAAATAAAAGAGAAGGCACATATTACCAGTAGCAAGATTGATTCTACATGAGATATACTAACAGGATATTAAGAATAACATTATACCAATGACTTTAAAAGTGTATATGAGATTTAAAAAATACAGAAAAATACAACTGACAAAATCTGACATTAACAGAAAATGAAAAAGCCACAGTTATGTGTCTAATAGAGATTGAATCCATAATTAAAAGTCCTCTTACAGAGGTTTTTGTAGGACAATGGCAGCTGTGTATTTTTCTTCACCCTAATTTAAAAAAAGTTATGAAATCAAGCAGGAGAGGAAAGAAAACCATGTATCACCCATCTCTTTTAGTATGAGAAAACAAATAATGCCATAAGTGTTCAATTGATTTATGAAGAGAAATAAATTCCAAAACATTCCCTTCTGCCCTCCTGTCTTTATGAAGAGTACTAAGAGTGGGGAGAAGAAGATTAAGAGTAGAATGACATGCACCTGGGGCTTGCTGGCAATTCTGTCCCTTCTAATGGTAGAGCATTGTGTGCATACGTGTGTTCACCCCCCAGGGTCAAAAAAGACTTGCCTTCCCAGTGTTCTTGCTTCCAGTAAAGCCACACCACAGCATCCACAAACAGCTGCAGCCTAGGCCAGTGAGGCACTCAGTAGACACCAATGATGTTGATAAAAGCTGAAGAAATCATATGGAGTCTATATTACTGTTCTTACATGGAACCAAAGTCAAGGCACCCTACCCAACTGAGACTGTATGACATATCTACAGGAAAAAGTTTTTCCCTATGAAAGCTATATCATAAAATTGGAAAAAGTGGCTGTTCCATCATATGCACAGATACCAGTGTAGGAACACAGGAAACGTGAAAAGGCAGGGAAACCTGATACCTCCAAAGGAACACAAGAATTCTCCAGTTAATATACCCCAAAGTAAAGGAAGCCTATCAAATGCCTGAAAAGGAACTCAAAATAAAGATCTTAAGGGAACTCAGCAAAATACAAGAGAACACAGATAAAGTATTCAACACCATCAGGAAACAATTCATGATCTCAATGAGAAATTCAGGAAAATGGTAGATATCATAAAAAAGAATCAAATCTCAAAACTGAAAAATTCAGTAAATGAAATAAAAATAAAATCAAGAGCTTCAACAATAAACTAGATCAAGCAGAAGAAAGAATTTCTGAACCTGAAAACACATGTTTTCAAATAACCCAGCTAGATCAAAAGAAAGAATGAAGAAAGCTTACAGAACATGTGGAACATCATTAAGCGATCAATTTTTGCATTATGGGAGTTGGAGAAGACGAGGTGAAAAAAGGCATTGAAACCTACTTAATGAAATAATAGCTGAAAACTTTCCAAGTCTTGGGAGTAATATGGACATCCAGATACAGGAAGCCCAATGATCTTCAAATAGGTTGAAGCTGAAAAGGCCTTCTCCAAGGCACTTTATGGTCAAACTCTCAAAAGTCAAGAGAGAATTCTATGAACAGCTAGAGAAAGGTGTCGAATCACATAAAAGGGAATCCCCATCAGACTAATGGCAGATTTCTTAGCAGAAACTTTACAGGCCAGGAGAGAATGGGATGATATATTCAACATGCTGAAAGAAAAAACTGTCAGCCGAGGATACTGTAACTGGCAATGCTATTCTTTAGAAATAAAGGAGACATAGTCTTTCCAGACAAGTGAAAATGAGGGAATTCATCATCACTAGACTGGCCCTAAGAGAAATGATTAATTACTTCTGCATCTGCAGTAAAAAAGTGATATCTAAGCATTATGAAAACATGCAGATAAAACATACTAATAGAACAGATATATAGATGAAAAAGAGAAGGGACTCAAACGTTAACACTACAGAAAAGTCACCAAATTGCATAGATAAACAATAAGACAAGAAGAAAGATACAAAAGATATACAAAATAACTGGAAATCAATTTAAAAGTAGTGGGGATAAGTCCTCACCTATTAATAACCTTGAATGTAAAGCATTTAAATTCCCCATTTAAAAAATATAGACTGGCTAAATGAATTTTTTAAAAATACAAAGCAGGACCCAACTATATGCTGCCTGCAAGAAACTGACTTCACCCGTGAAGAAACACATAGACTGAAATGAAGGAATTGAGAAAGAAATTCTATGCACATGGAAACCAAACATGAGCAGGAGTAGGTATAGTGTATCAGATAAGATAGACTTCAAGTTGGCCGGGCGCGGTGGCTCACGCCTGTAATCCCAGCACTTTGGGAGGCCAAGGCGGGTGGATCATGAGGTCAGGAGATCGAGACCATCCTGGCTAACAAGGTGAAACCCCGTCTCTACTAAAAATACAAAAAATTAGCCGGGCGCGGTGGCGGGCGCCTATAGTCCCAGCTACTCGGGAGGCTGAGGCAGGAGAATGGCGTGAACCTGGGAAGCGGAGCTTGCAGTGAGCCGAGATTGCGCCACTGCAGTCCGCAGTCCGGCCTGGGCGACAGAGCGAGACTCCGTCTCAAAAAAAAAAAAAGATAGACTTCAAGTTAAAAAAAAGAAAAAAAACCTACAACATAAAAAGTGACAAAGAAGGCAATTATTAATATATAGTGATAAAGGGATCAATTCAGCGAGAGGATATAACAATTGTAAATACACACACACACACACACACACACGCACGCACACCAAACACCGGAGCACCCAGATATATAAAGCAAATACTGTTAGATCTAAAGGGAGCGTTAGACCCCAATATAGTAATAGTTGAGGACTTCAGCACCTCACTCTCAGCAACAGATAGATGATCCAGACAGAAAATCAACCAAGACATATACTGGATTTAAACTGCATTATAGACCAAGTGGACCTAACAGATATTTAAATAATATTTAACAGCCACAGAATATACATTATTTTCATCAATTCGTGGAACATTCTCCAGGACAGATCGTGTGTTAGGCCACAAAACAAGTCTCAGCAAATTTTAAAAAATCGAAATTATGTTAAGTATCCTGTCAAACCACAATGAAATAAAGTTAGAAATTAATAACAAGAGGAAATTTGGAAACTGTACCAATACTTGGAAATTAAACATGCTTCTGAATGACCGGTGGATCAATGAAGAAATTAAGAAGGAAATAAAAAAAAAATTTGAAGCAAATGAAAATAGAAACATAACACACCGAAACCTATAGGATACAGCAAAAGCAGTAGTAAGAGCGCAGCTTATAGCAGTAAATGCCTACATCAAAAAAGTAAAAAGATTTCAAATAAATAACCTAATACACCTCTATGAACTAGGAAAGCAAGAACAAACCAAACTGAAAATTAGCAAAAGGAAAGATATAAGAAAGATTAGAGCAGAACTAAGCAAAATAGAAACTAAAAAATACAAAGGGTCAATGAAATGGAATGTTGATTTTTTTGGAAAGATAAATAAAACTGATAAACCATTAGTTAGACTAAGTAACAAAGAGAGACGATGAAAAAGAAAATTAGGCCAGGTGCAGTGCTCATGGCTTTACCACTTTGGGAGGCCAAGGCGGGTGGATCACCTGAGTCAGGAGTTGGAGACCAGCCTGGCCAACATGATGAAACCCCATATCTACTAAAATACAAAAATTAGGTGATGGTGGGCACCTGTAATCCCAGCTCCTTGGGAGGCTGAGGCAGGAGGATCGCTTGAACCCAGGAGGTGGAGGTTGCAGTGAGCTGAGATTGCACCACTGCACTGTAGCGTGGGGTGACAGAGCCAGACTCCATCTCAAAAAAAAATAAAAAATAAAAAAATTAGAACTGTAATAAAAAAATTAGAAATGTAATATGAGATATTACAACTGATACCACAGAAATACAAAAGATCATTAGAGAATATTACGAATTACTATATGCCAGCCAATTGGAAAACATAGCAGAAATTGATAAATTCCTGAACATATAAACTTTCAAGATTGAAATAGGGAAAAACAGAAAACCCAAACAGACCAATAACAAGTAATGAGATTAAATCAATAATTTAAAAAATCTCCCAGCAAAGAAAAGCTCAGCACCAGATGGCTTCACTACTGAATTCTACCAACTTCCCCCAACCTCTTTTTTTTTTTTTTTGAGATGTAGTCTGGCTCTGTCACCCAGGCTGGAGTGCAGTGGTGTGATATTGGCTCACTCCAACCTCCACCTACCTGGTTCAAGCGATTTTCCTGCCTCAGCCTCTGGAGTAGCTGGGACTACAGGCGCACGCCACCACGCCCAGCTAATTTTTGTATCTTTAGTAGAGATGGGGTTTCACCATTTTGGCCAGGATCTCTTGACCTCGTGATCCGCCCGCCTCAGCCTCCCAAAGTGCTGGGATTACAGGCTTGAGCCACCGCGCCAGGCCTTTTTTTTTTTTTTTTTTTTTTTTTAAACAGGGTCTCACTCTCACACATGCTAGAGTACAGTGGCATGATCATAGCTCACTGCAATCTTGAACTGGGCTCAAGTGGTCCTTCCACCTCACCCTCCTCCTGAGTAGCTAAAACTATTAATCCAAGCTGGCACAATGATGCCTGGCTAATTTTTTTAAAAATGAAACTTTAGAGCCAAGCATGTTTAGTCAGGATCTAGACACCACTAAATGTTCTCTTTTAATGTTATATATACTGTTTTAACAGGCTTGGCTGGTCTATCTTCAACTTATTTAAGAACATGTGTTATAAAACTATATAAACAAAAACCTTAGATTACCATGTATGGATCATGCTAAAGTAAATTGTCCACTAATCATTTTAAGGAATCTTCTCTTGGATAAATGGTTTGTACTTCTTAATCATGGTCCATCTTAAATTAGATGTCAAAAAAATTTTCAACTCGGGTATAATTTCAGGAGAAGGAAAAGGTAAAAGAATCTCTAATAATTTGTTATTATGTGCTGTGTACAGAATACTGTGTAAGGGACTTTATATACATTATCTTATTTAAAGGTCACAACTGCATATCATAACATAATCCTTTTAAAGAAAATGGAGTTTAAGAATGTTAAATAATTTGCCTTGTTCCACATAGATACTATGGGGTGGCAATAAATTATGAAACCTGGTCTGTTTAGTTCTAGAGTCAAGGCATAAAAATATTTAATTTTAAATAAAATGTCTAATTACTTAAATTTTTATGTATTATAACTAACAGGTACATTGTACAAAATCAAAAGCTACAAAGAGTTGTATACAGAAAATACATTTTTGTCTCATCCTGGCTCTGTTGTCACTCGGTTTCCCCAAAACAGTCGTTAACAGTTGTTTTCAGAGCTATTCCATGCATGGACAAGCAGATTGTTTTCTTGCACTCAATTTTGTTAAATAGAAATGGGTGTAACAAAATATATACACTGTTCTTCATATTTTTAGAAAGTATTTAGCAATATATGTTGGAGATTATTCCATGTCAGTGTATCTATTGCTGCATTATTTTTAAATGATATCATAGTATTTAAGGATACATGGTATTTTTAACCCATCCACTGTTTAAATTTTTCCAATCTTCAGCACTTACTAATAATGTTGCAGTGATTTTCTTTGTGCAGTATTTCACATAAAACTGAATTTATCAGTAAGAGTTGAAACCTAGATCAGAGTATGAGAGATATTGTCCATTTCCATCCATAGGAATTAAATCAATTTATATGTCAAACAACAGTATATATGCTGTTTCATTACACTCTCAAAAACATGGTGCTATGAAATACCTGGGTCTTTGGCAAACTTAGATAAAGAAGATATTTCAATGTAGGTTTATATTTATTTTTCTTTCTTTTCCTTTCTTTTTTTTTTTTTTGAGACAAAGTCTCCCTCTTGTCCCCCAGGCTAGAGTGCAATGGCACAATCTTGGCTCACTGCAATGTCCGCCTCCCGGGTTCAAGCGATTCTCCTGCCTCAGCCTCCCAAGTAGCTGGGATTACAGGCGCCTGCCACCACGCCCGGCTACTTTTTGTATTTTAAGTAGAGACAGGGTTTAACCATGTTTGCCAAGCTGGTCTTGAACTCCTGACCTCATGATTCGCCTGCCTTAGCCTCCCAAAGTGCTGAGATTACAGGTGTGAGCCACCACACCCGGCCACATTTATTTTTTTTAAAGGTAATGAGGCTGGACATTTTTCTATTGGAATGTTAGTCTTTATCCTTTTGGGTTATACAAATTCTTAGTAGAAATATTAACATTTTGTCTGGGGTGAGTTGCTAATATTTTCTCTGTCTCTTGTCCATTTTCTGTGTTTAGGTTATTTTTTTTCTAGTGGAACTACTGTTTTCATACAGTCAAACTGATTAATCTTTTACATCATCTGGATTTTATAGCAAACTTAGCTTTTCCATCATGCTTTTATGGTTTCACTTGTCTTGCTTACTCTGGTCTAAGCTAGGAGAGCTGGGCATGGTAATTCCAGCTTTTTGGTTGGCTGAGGAGTTGAGCCCAGGAGTTTAAGGCTACATTGAGCTATGATTGCACCACTGCACTCCAGCCTGGGTAGCAGAGTGTGACCCTGTCTCTTAAAAAAGAAAAAAAAAGTTATTAAACAAAAAATCTAGGAGAAAGAGACTTCTTGTTTATCCCCCCAAATAGCTACTAAGCCCAGTACTCTTTTCTGAATAATCTTTTCTTGATTAGTTTGAAATGTCACATTTTATCAGGTTTTATTTTATTCTGAATTTCCATTTGTTATAGGGTCTGTTCCCAGACTTTCTGTTCTCTTCTGTTGATCTAATTATGCATAAGTACCATGCTGTTTTATTTACCATACCTTTATATTACTTTTAATGTATTACTTACATTCAATAAAATTAACCAGTTTTAAATTGCATACCGTCATGTAACTCACAACAGTCAAGTTGTATCCTTGTGCCCTTTTGCACCCAAACCCCTGGATAATATGGTAAATGTGTGTGTAACTTTGTAACTTCCATACAATTTTTCCCCTTTTACATTTTTACCAGTAGTGTAAGAGAGAGTTCCAGGTGTCCCATATCCTTGTCAGCATTAGGTGTTATCAGTCTTTCTAACTTCAGCTATTTTTGTGGCTTTGTTGTGGCAACTTACTGTTGTTTCAATTTTCATTTCTCTTAAGACTAGGGATTTTGATCCTCTTCTCCTTTGCTCATTGGCCATTCATATAGCTTGTTTTATGATGTTTCTAGTCATATCTTTTCTCCTTTATTTATGGGTTGTTTCTTCTCTAACTGTTGCTCTATAAGAGTTCTTCAAAAATTCTGGATATAGGCTCTTTATAGATAGGATTTTTGCAGTTTTTTACCCCAGACTGTGGTTTACCTTTCTACTTTTTTTAAACCTGTCTTTCAAAGAGCAAACTTTATCTTCATGAGGTCTTTTTAAACCATTTCTTCTTATTGTTCTTTCTTTGTCTGACCTTGTGTCACAAATATTTTCCCCTCCCAAGAAGTTTAATGGTCTTACTTCTTAACTTTATGTGTGACCCATTTTGATTCAGTTTTTATTGTGAGGCAGGGTCAATGATTATTTTTTTCCTATACAGCTTTCCAGTTTTCCATCAGCTTTTATTAAAAAGTCTACCCACTATCCACTCAACTAACTTAACACCTTTTTTGAAAATTATTTGTCCGGTAAGTGTTATTTCATCAATGTCACTCTGTCATGATACTGTAATTTTATAGCAAGAATTGAAATCAGCAGTTCTTTTAAATTTTTTTCAACTATTTGAGTATTTTTCCTCTCCATTAAAATTTTAAAATAAGTTTGGTAATTTCTTCAAAAATTCCTCAGGATTTTTATTGTGATTTCATTCAATCTAATTTCCCTTTGCAGTACTTGTAGTTTTTCATATAAAGGTCTTTCACAACTTGCATTTGATTTGTTTCTGAATATTTTTGATTGATGCTATTTTGGAGTTGTTTTAAGTTTTTACTTTCCAATTGTTTGCTGCCAGTTTATAGAAATGCAGTTGATTTTTGTATCCTGCAACTTTTCAAAATTCAACTATTCTACATGCTTTGTGGGTTCCATAGGGTTTCTTTATACATAATCACATTGCTTGTATGTAAATATTATTTTAATTTTAATATTCGACTTTTATGGCTTTTTTTTTTTTTTTTGCCTTATTGCGGTGGCTATTCTTTTAGTATAATGTTAAGTAGAAGTGTTGAGGGCAGACATCCTTGCCGTGTCCCTGATGTTAGGTAGAAAGCTTTGAGCCTTTCACTGTTGAGTATAATGCTAACTGTAGATTTTTCACAGATGCTCTTAATTAGGTTGAGGAGTTCCCTTCTATTCCTGATTTGCTGTGACTTTTATCATAAAACGGTGTCAAATTTGGTTTTAATGCTTTTTCTGTACCTCTTAGAATGATAAGATGAATTTTCTCCCTTGTTCTATTAATATGTTAAATTGCATTGGTTAATCTCTGATGGTAAACTAACCTTACATTTCTAGGATTATCTCCACTTAACCTTTTTAATGTATTTTTGGATTCAATATGCTAATAGCTTTAAAGGGTTTTTGTATCTGTGTTCAATAAGGATTTTGTTCTTTTTTCTTGTGAGATATTTATCTGTTTGTGACCTCATAAAATGAGATGGTCAGTGTTCTCTCCTTGCGTGTTTTCTGTTAAGAGTTTGTATAGGACTGATGTTATTTCCTCTTTAAATGATTAAAGGAATTCACCAGTGAAGCCATCTAAGCTTGGAGTTTTTTTTAGTGGGTGTCTTTTTAATTACAAACTCAATTTTTTGAGTTGATATTGAATTCTTTAGTTCATCTGTTTCTTGTAATTTTTCAAGAAATTGTGTTACCTAAGTTGTCAAACTGAGGCATCAAGTTGTTAATAATATTTTGTTAATTTTTTAATGCTTAAAGAGTCTGTGGTTAATCCCTTCTTTTATTTCTCACTTTTCTTGTTCAATCTGGCTGGAGTTTTGTCAGTTTTATTGAGTTTGCCCCTCTCCCCTAAAATAATCAGCTTTTGGTTTCATTGATTTCTTTCCCTCCCCTCATCAATCTGTGTTTTTAGTTTTACTGATTTCTATTCTTATCTTTATTATTTCCTAACTTTTATGTTCTTTGGGCTTAATTTGCTTTTTTTAAAATTTTTTAGTTTCTTAACATAGAAGCTTAAGCTATTGATCTAATACCATGTTCCTTTTTTAACACAGGTGTTTAGAACTACACATTTTCTTTCAGCACTGCTATAGTTGTGTGTTGTATTCACATATTTTTCTGTGGACTGCCTTTAGCCCGAGACTGAAAGCTTTGGAGAAGGGAACATACTCTTAGAGCTTTCCATCTCCCTTCCCACAAGTGAACATGAGCTCCCACCAGTCTGTCTGCTTCTGCTCCCTCTCTAGTACCTTCTGATGATTACCTTTATCTTATGTCCAAATTTTGTCATTGTTTTCTACAGGGATGATTTGACCGATAGGGTCTTAACTCCATCATGCTAGAAAATGGAAACTGCTTAAGGACTTTTTTTCCTTTTTAACTATTAAGAGAAAGATTCTTGAAGCATAGGATTTTAGAGTTGGCATATAATTAAGAGATTACTTAGTTTCTCTTTATGCAATACAGGAATCATCCCTGAGTCTTTCTTTCTTCAATTAGTTACCAAATCCTAGTTTTTCTCAAAATATAAAAATATTCTGTTTCCAGTTATGCTGTTAGTAGCTTCCAGGTTGCAGCTGAGCTCCTGATCACTTGGTCCTTTGGATTATCCTTTCCTTCCTTCAGTCCCATCCTTAAATACCCAGTAGGGCTAGAGTCCTTCTCAACTTCCCCTCTGTGTGTTACTTCTATCAGCTTTGAATACCTGATGTGTGTCCTGTGCCTAAGGGATTATTTTTGTTTATCCTGAGGCCCACTTTGGATATTGGTTTATGAAGGTGGATACACCCTCCTACCCCTTACCTTACAGAAATCCGTATTAGACTTAAGGTCCATAATCTTTTTCCTTCACTACTGAGTGTTTATTTCTCCTACTCTTTACTGCTGTAGTCATTTTTATCATTCCAAACCTGTCCTTCTGCAAGACAAGAGGAAAATTCATCTTGAGCCCCTATTTAAGTATTTCATTCTTAACTGTTCCATTTGTTTATTTTCTTTTCCTTCCTGAGTTATAAGCTACTTATAGAGTATCTTACCCATTGTAGGCTCTTAACTATTTGTAAGCTTGATAGGATTTCATGAAAATGCAAACTACTAATGGGAACAGATTTTGGACTGGAGAAAAAAAGATTTTAGAACCTCGAAAGCAAACAAATACAGAGTAATTTAAGCCAGGCATAAGTGTAAGCAGCAAACAAAACAGCATGTTTGCCAGTGAGAGTTAAAAAGGGAATTAAAGTTGGAGTTTGCAGGAGGAAATGATAGGAAAAAGAATGGCTGCATCGTAGTGGTCAACTATATACTGTTTGAGACTATACCAGTTTTACCTTGTTGACAATTTGATGTAATTTTAGGGAGTATTTAAGATTGCTATGCGCATTTTTTTTTCAAATAAATGTTTGCTTACCAGATGTTTAGAATATAATTATCTGGTCTATTTAATTCTTGTGCAACTGACTAAAGGAAAACACTGTATCTGTAGTGCCAGGTTGGGAAATGGCTGAGAGTTTAGAATAGAAAGTTCTTTTCTTAAAGTATAAAAGCAATAGACCTATGTAACAGGGTAGGAAATAAATCATTAAAAGTATTTAGATTTCAGGTCAAGTTATAAAGAGTTTTGTTAAATTAACTAAACTGTTTAGAATTTATTAAGATATACAGAATAGATTTTAAGAAAAAATGTTTCATAGAGTTCAACTGTCTCTGATGGTGGTGCATATGTAGATTTTTACTTTTAGCCAATTTTATGACCACTTAACTAGTGAAATGAAATATTAAACTTAAAACAGTCATAAAAAGTCCATTTGCCTAGTGATTTTGTGCCAGGAAATGCATGTGCCAACTGTACGTACCCAACTCATGGCTTCTTGGTTTCTCTGGATCATTAATCACTGTAGAGTGAGAAAAGAGTTTGAGCCTTTTAGAAAGCATGAAAAGGAGAGTAATATTAAAGAGATAGTGATTTAAAACCTGTCCAAGTCATGGATGAAGCCAGAAATTTTCCTGATATGACCTCATGATTTCATATTAAATTGTTATATAATTCTGGAATTCTAAAGCATTACATTCTGCAATGTAGTGTAGTGGTGAAAACTAGGAAAGGCCCACATTGTGATATATCTAGATTATTCAGAGTGAGATCAGAGAGAAGCCAGCAGGAACAGCATGGCCTCTGATGAATGCTTTCATCCATTCTCAGTTTTTCAAGACATACGAAGACTGTTATTGGATATGTAGAAGTTCCTGTAGTGGGCTGCTTTCACAGGATAATGGAAACTGGATAGGAAGCTGTTCAGAAGTTCAGCCTCCCAGAATATAAACTGCCAAAATATTAAATAATTTTTTTAGTCAAATCTGATGAAATGATTAGAATTTTATTTTACATGCTGTTGGTATTTTTACATATGAATTTTTCTTTTTAGAGATCATGAATAAAAACAACTCAGTTACAATGTGTTGTTTACCTTTTTAGTACACTATAGGAACATGATTATAATGCATGCTGCTGTTAACATGAAAGTGGTTCAATACAGTGATATGGGAATTGGAAAGACTCATGTGGTCAGATTTTCAGTTTGATCTGTAGTTTATTGATGTATTTATAAACATTACAATAAATTTGTGTAAATAAATGTGCCATTGCTAACACAGTTTTAAGAATTACTAAATTTACTGAAGTCACCTTAATTTTATTTACTATCACATGTTAGCCACAAAGAATAGATGTCTGTTTGACATATTTAAAATCTATAATGCCTAACTTTACCTCCTGTGAGAAGGAAAACTCCCCCTTTCTTACCCAGCTTCCTCCTACTTAAAACAGACATTCACTAAAATTAGAACAAAGTCATGAATATTTTTGACTCTATCCAGTTTGGTGGGTTCTTTTTTTAATTCAACACAATTTCATGCTGCCCTCCTGCTCATAACAAGAATAAGATGAATGGATTCATCTTATTGATGAATGTATTAAGATGAATAGATTCATCTTATTGGCGATTTTGTGCCAGGAAACTCACATGCTAGTTGTCCCTTCCCAAATTAAGCCCCCACAGGACTCAGTAACACTCCACTCCTGCCAGTTCCTTTAGTGCAATCATAGGCATTAGTTTTGCTACCTACAGTAGGTAAAGGTGCCTTATTACCCAAAAGTAACAACAGCTTGAGCCTTCCTGGAATGAATCTCTGCAGCTAGTGTGTTTGAAGCTCCACCTGTGACTCTTTCTTCAAAGGGGGCTTCTAGTCAAGGATTCCTAGCTACTTATTAACTATGCTATAGCTATTACTGTCACAGCAAACTTTCTGATGTCCTGGCCTTCTTTATTATATTGATAAGATTATGGTATCCTATTAAATAATCATATAAAGCTTCACAACAGCCTTCTTCCTCTGTGTTATTCCACATATTACTTAATAACTAAAGGTCAGAAGTAGTATTTTACTAATCTTAACAGTGAACCACTGTGATGCACACATCCTATGACAGAGAATGAAAATACCAGATACTGGCTTTCTCAGCCTCCTGTCAGCAGGGATGGTTGTTTGAGCCAGTCTAACCAAAGGGTCTTATGGGAGTCTGTTGGAGTCTCTGGGAAAGATACTCCTCCTTAATAAGATGAAAGAAGTCAATGAAGGTCCAGTGCCACTCTTTTCTGCTTGTGGACAGTATTGTGTTAGCACATGAGGCTTGGAACTTTTGCAGGCATTCCCTCAAAGAGGGGGAGGTCCTCAGACATCAGGAGGATGGCATAGTAGAGTGGGAGATCCTGGCTCCTGAACTAGCGTTGGGGCCAGACTTTATTTTACGTGAGAAGCGTAAACCCAAATTGTTTATATGACTTTTAGATTGGTATTCTGTTATTTATAGCCAAAAGCATCCTGATGTAACTTGCTTTCCCCTATTTCACCAAGCCATAAGAAATGTATCCATTGTTTGATTTACTCGTTCAGTAAATTTTATTAATGCTAGTCATGAATGAAAATTTTTATGAAAACCATCAAATAAAGTAGAATATGTTAAACATATTTTAGTTCTGTTGCCTGGAAGACACACATACATCTCTGCTTGTTTTTAGATATATAACAGATTATTTCATTTTAGCAATTCTATTGGTATTTGAAACATAAAGTTTTGGTAATTGTTGATTTTGTAGTTTTGGTTGCCAGCATTGCTTGGCCGAGATGAGTTTTGATGCATGGCCGGGAGGGTGGTAAGTAGTGGGGATATACGTTTGTTGACGAAAAGAATCGAACTCTGTAAAATATTTGAAGAGATTTATTCTGAGCCAAATGTGATTGACCATGGCCTGTAACACAGCCCTCAAGAAGTCCTGAGAACATGTGCCCAAAGTGGTCGGGGTACAGCTTGGGTTTATATATTTTAGGGAGCCACGGGACATCAATCAAATACATTTAAGAAATACATTGGTTTGGTTCAGAAAGGTGGGACAACTTAAAGCAGGGGCTTCCAGGCTATAGGTAAATTTAAACATTTACTGGTTTACAATTGGCCGAGTTTATGTGAAGACCTGGGATTAATGGAAAGGATTGTTTAGGTTAAGGTAAAGGATTGCGGAGACCAGGTTTTTTTGTGCAGAGGAATCTCTCAGATAGCAAACTTCAGAGAGAGAGCAGGTTGTAAAATGTTTCTTATCAGATTTAAAAGGGTGTCTGGCTCTTAGCTGATTATCTCCTAGATCTGGAAAGAAAGGAAGGAAAATAAAGGGATAAGGGGATTATCTATATAATGTGGATTTTTCCCACAAAAAACTTTACAAGGCAATTTCAAAGTATGGCAAGGTAATATATTTTGGGGTAAAACATTTTGATTTTTTCCCTTGTTATGCCTGAGTAAGACTGGAAAGTAAGTCACAATATACAGGGTTAAACAAAGCTCATGTGATGAGAATTTATGGTTTGTAGGGCATGACTCCCTAGATCCCTTAGAAAGGAATTTGGGCAAGATAAAAAATTAGAGCTTAGCCTTTACTTTCTTCCATTGGGAAGAAAAGAAAGGTTCAATTCATTTAAATCATCTGCCAGGCAGTTTTACCAGGATTACCTTTCTTTCTAGAATGACATTGAGAACTAAGTAATTTTTTAGGATGGCATTGAAATCTAAATAACTTAAATGAAGCTTTTGTTTTGAATGTGTTATCTGACTTCTGAACAGAGCTGAAGCCCTGAGCTGTGTGAAGTTGACAGTTTCTTTGGCCAGGAGAAATGGCTGGGGGCTTTAAGGTTATCTAATCAATCACTTACTGACATTAATGCAATTGGTTACCTAAATTGGATATCCTGTTGATGTGTACTATTTCTAATACCTCAGCAAATTTACATTGCGTTAGGCTGCTAGATATCCCAGATGTGAGCTAGGAAGCGAATTTCACCTCTAGTACTTTTAGTACCCTTAGGTCTGCTGAAAATTGAGGAATTCCTTTGCTTAAATTAATAATTACATTCTAAAATTATCTAAAAGATATGCTTTTATAATGGTAACTTCAGTAGAAAGAAATTCAGAATTTGGAGGGAGCTTTAGGGTTTTGAATCTGCTTTGTATTTGGTGGAAAAGCACAAATGAAATAAATCACATAATAATCAGTTTTGAACCAACTTTGAAATGGCACTTTGCAATAATAATAGAAAAGATATGCAAGATGAACCCTCTGTATCTCATAGTTGGTAACTTTAATAGATAATTTGACTTCCATGCCTTCAGTTGTTCTTTGTCTTGGGGCTAAGTATCTGTAAATTGTGCAGGTATTTTAAAAGAGAAAGGCAACATTGTAAGACCTGGGGGAAAATGAATTAGCTGTTGTATTTATTATATATGTCATTTAAAAAATATGGCTTTTCTCCATTTATTTCATATAACAAATCTTACAGAAAATATTTTCCTTATGCTTGAAGTCAGATGTTTCTGAGTGTTACACTGTTGTGTAATGAATACCAGGCAGGGACATATTATGTAGCCAAGAATTAAAAATGTTCTTCCACAATGAAAATAATGTCAAAACTATATCTTTAGAAATGCTGTTACTGATAATCTTCAATTATTACAACCAAGTAATATGGTATAGTAAGCGAATTCCAAGTAAGATTATTTAGGCCTTGATTTTGAATGGAAAATGGCCATTATTTGTGTATTTTTTTAGTCAAACACAAGTTTGCATCAACAAATAGATGTTCTGAAGTAAACTTTTTATATGGAATCATTTTAGATTTATTGAAAATTTGTAATAACAGTACAGAGAATTTTCCTATCTTTTTCACCCAGCTTCTCTGATGTTAACATCTTATATGGTATATCTGTTGAAACAAGAGGTTAATTTTGGTGCAATACTATTAACAATGGACTTTATTCAGACTTCACCAATTTTTCCACTAATGTCCTTTTGTGGTTCTAGGATCCAACTGAGAATACCACCTTGCTTTTTAGTCATTGTATCTTCCTAGTCTTCCTTCATTTTGTGATAGTCTTTTCTTGCTTTTCATGGTGCCTTTGAAAAGTACTGGTTGGACATTTTGTAGAATGTTCCTCAGTTTGGGTTTGTCTGATGTTTTCTTGTGATTAGACTAGAGCTGTAGGCTTGGGGGAAGAATACTGTAGAGGTGGAGTACCCTTCTCATGTCAGAGGTTCATGATATCAACATGGCTTATCACTGGTGATGTTAATCTTAATCACTTAGTTAAGGTGGTATCTGTCAGGTTTCTTTACTGCAAAGATGCTGTTTTCCCCTTTACATTTACATACTCAATCCACTAAGCACAGCCCACACTCAAAGGCTGGCTGTTGGGGGAAAGGAATGAAGCTCTACTTCCTGGAGTGCAGACTATTTATATATATTATTCATACTTCTGTGGAAAATATTTGCCCCTACTCCCCATTTATTTAATTAGTAATTTAATAATATCAATATGGACTCATTGATATTTATTTTAATTTTTAGATTATAATCTGGTACTATCATTATTTTGCTGCTGAAAGTAATGGCCAGCTTTGGCCATTGGGAGTTTTCTTTTCTTGAGACAGGGTCTTGCTCTGTCATCCAGGTTGGTGTGCGGTGGTGCGTTCACAGCTCACTGCATCCTTGACCTCCTGGGCTCAAGCAATCCTTCCGCCTCAGCCTCCTTAATAGCTGGGACTATAGGTACATGCCACCTTGCCTGGCTAATTTAAAATAAATTTTAAAAGACAACAACTTTTTTTTTTGTAGAGAAGTGGTGGGTATCGCTACATTGCCCAGGTTGGTCTTGAACTCCTGGGCTCACGCCAACCTCCTGCCTTGGCTTCCCAAAGTGCTGAGATTATAGGCATGAGCCACTGCGCCTAGCCTGGGAGTGCCTGAAGGTTGGCTCTTATGTCCTTTTGACATACTACCATCTTTTTTCTTTTAACCACTTATTTTTTTGGCACTTTAAATTCTCCAGGTTCATCTTGTATTTTTCCTTGCCCCATCCCTAGACTCAGCATTTCGCTAAGGAGCCCTAGATCCCTTTTTTTTATGAAGAATGATGTGAGAAACTAAAATCTAGGCACTTACTATGCTCTGTATGAGTTTTCCATTGCAGCTTATACTACAAATATAGAGTGGTTTAAAGGACACAAATTTATTATATAACAGTTTTAGAGGTTTGATGTGGGTTCTACTGGGCTGAAATCAAGGCATTGGCAGGACTGGTTTCTTTCTGTAGGATTGCTACGGGATCTGTTTCCTAGCCTTTTCTAGCTTCTAATGGATGCCTACATTCCTTGGCTTGTGGCCCCTTCTTCTGGCTTCAAAGCCAGCATTGGCTGGTTGAGTCCTTCTCACATCAGTACTAAGTCATCTTGTGCCTCCCTCTTCCACTTAAAAAAAATTTATTTTTAATTTTCATAGGTACATAGTAGGTATATATTTATGGGGTTTCTCTCCCACCTTTAATGACACTTATGATTACATTGGGCCCACTAGAATAATCTAGGCTAATCTCACTACCTTAAATTCGTCTGATTAGCAATCTTAATTCCCCTTTGCTGTATAACACAGTGCCTTCACAGTTCCAGGAATTAAGATGTGGACATCTTTTGGGGGATGATTATTCTGCCTACCATATGTTAATTGCTACTGGGATGTCTTTGATTATAGGTCCTCTCAGTGTGCAAAGCTAGGAATGTACTTAGGAATCAGTTTTGCAACAGGAAGAAATATCTCAGATAATAGCTCATTTAGAAAATTGGTCAAATTTCCAATCTCATATAATATGAAAGATGAGTTTGGTCTCTCTCATGTTAACATGAACCCCAAAATTGTAACATGACCAAGAAGCCTCATTGTCAAGCAAGAATTTTTACTGTCTGCATGTGTATATGATTATGTTTGTGGAGTCTAGTGAAATTTGTAGTACAAGTGGTTTCTCCATTTTTCTCCACTTTTTGGTGTGTCAAGTTTGAAATTATATTTAGAATTAAGTTTGTTAGAGTATTATGTAATTATTACTTGCTCATATTTTATACTTTGATTTCTATCTTGTATTTTCAGCACAGTCACATTTGAAACCTAATGATACAGGCATACTACAACAGGATTGTTGCTGCAAAAATGTCATAAAATTACCTGTCATCAGAGTTTTTAAAAGCCTTCGTGGAAATTAATCATCTTAGAAGAGGGATGTGGAGAGCATTACCCAGTTTGTAATGTGAGTTCAGAAAAGATAGATCTTCCTTAACTTTATCTATCCAGCATTTAGCACCCTAATAAAAGTTGAAATTCTGAAAAGTATAACTACTTGTTACTTAACTCCCTGATTTATTTGTATAACTACTATTAATTATGGACAGATCCATACTCAGTAAATACAGTATTTTCTTATGATCTTTGTGATAAAAGTTTATATAAAATTTGCATCTGTTCCTATTGTTCATTCTCATTTAATAGAGGCCTATGGGTAGCATTTCTGTGGTTGCATCCACATCGTTTATTCAGGATTGAAAATAATGTCGAAGGAGCAGTTGTCTGTCTTTCTTCCGCCCTGCTTTTTCTTCTGGTGTCATATTCATAGTGCCATAGTAGATGCCATATTGAGTTACTACAAGGACAGCAGTGATAAATTTTACCCTATTGTTGAGATTGAGTTATTAGAGCATTAGGTGAGTAGTGCTGATGTTTTCATTACTCAGTTAACTATATTCATCTACACTGAAATGAAAAAAAAAAGTTGTGAAAAGGCTTACTTTTTATTAAGAATGCATAATGCCAAAATACACATTCAAGTAAATGGTTATTTTTTTCTCCCCCTAGGCAACGCTAAAACTTGGTAAAAGGGAATGTAAGTCAAAACTAGGTTCTAAAATGATGAGATAGGTTTGGACAATAGAGTATGCCGAGGGATTATTTACAACTGCTTTGAGAAGGCGATGCTGATAACGTAAATGAGGTTTTAGAAAGAAGATGGTGGTAGTGGAGCTATGCCAGTATATATAGATTCTATCTTTATAAACCTGCCAGACTCCCAGCCCTCGTCTGAGAAATTCAGGTTAAAGACAGAATATCCTGCAGTGGAAAAGTATGAAAAAGACAAATTGCCGGGCGCGGTGGCTCACGCCTGTAATCCCAGCACTTTGGGAGGCCGAGGCGGGTGGATCATGAGGTCAGGAGATCGAGACCATCCTGGCTAACAAGGTGAAACCCCGTCTCTACTAAAAATACAAAAAATTAGCCGGGCGCGGTGGTGGGCGCCTGTAGTCCCAGCTACTCGGGAGGCTGAGGCAGGAGAATGGCGTGAACCCGGGAAGCGGAGCTTGCAGTGAGCCGAGATTGCGCCACTGCAGTCCGCAGTCCGGCCTGGGCGACAGAGCGAGACTCCGTCTCAAAAAAAAAAAAGACAAATTATATATGCTGATTTTAAAGATACAGGTTGCGCTATCATTAGCTCATAGAAATATGAAATAAATGTCATAAAAATGTGTTTTTTGAGGATCTTAACATTAAGAAAAATCTGAGTAACACTTTAAACATGGATACAATTTGCATTGATGACAATCAAATGGAAAAAAACCCAAACCCCTTGCCAGGTATTCCTGTGATTTTTTTATCGGGAAAAAAAGAGAAAAACATTTAAGCTAAAAGAAGTAAAAAAGATTTAGAAACATTGGCTTGGAGTTTCTAGAAGATATGTAACAAAATATTAGAAAAGTTTTATAGCAAAACCTCATGGATATTGCTACCACTTCCATCCCACATGGGGAGCAAGAGGTATTCTCACTTGCAATGCAGAAATACATTCGACCTGTCAGTATTGTTCAGTCTAGAACATCCTTTACAAATATGAGACTCTGCAGGATTAGTAAACATTTAAGGAAAATGTTAAACAGTATCTAGTACTAAAAAATGGAAAATCTAATCTCTGACAAATAAATAATTCTCTAAGGAGAATATAAACTATGTGTAATTAATACCTGTGGAAAGATTCAAGTATCTATGCAGAGAGGTTGTTTAGTACCGTGATTTAAAAATATCAAGTCTGGTGTCAGACTGCCTGTGTTTAAAATCTGGTTTTACCACTTACCATGTCTTTAGCCCTCATGTCTCTCAGTTTCCTCATCCATAAAATAGGGATAATAATTTTACTTAATTCATAAGGTTGTCTTGAGAATTAATTGAATTAATGAAAAATGCTTGGAACAATATTGGACATATAGTAAGCACACAGTAAACCTTTTTATTATAATTACACAATTTGTTCCTAAAAATGGCTGCTATGAAAAAGACCATTTGCAAATCTTGAAGATTAAGAATATGATTTTTGAAATAAACTAAATTAGTAGAACAGGTGTAGCTGACAAATTAGTTAGATGATCAAGCCAAGGGATTATCCTTAAAGTTGTCAAATGGCAAAAGAAATGAAAAGTATGAGAGGAGAGATCCAGAAGTTTTAACATCTAACAGAACTTCCAGCTGAAAATATGAATGAAGAGAAAAAAATATATATTTTCTTAAACAGAAGGAATGTTTTCTATATTAAAGAAAGATTCAAATATTGGAAGAGTTTATCAACTGCTGAGCAGAATTAATGAAAAAAGTTCCATACCTAGACTAACACTGATGAATTTCTATAAAACTATGGGTGAAGAGAAAATTATAAAAGCTTCCAGAGGAAAGAAATAAATTATCCGATTAGGAAAACTTAGTTATCTGTACAAATTTGTATAGCTAGATTTCTTACTAGCCATATTCAATGATAGAAAACTATAGAAAATAGCTTTGATATTCTCAGTGGAAAATGATTTGGAACCGCAAAATGCTGTTTTTAGCCAAACTAGCCTCTAAAATTGAGAACAAAACAAATACATTTCAGGAATGCAAAGACTCAAACATTTTTTAAAAGAAATTATTTTGAGGAGAACTAACAGAAAGACATAGGCAACAAGAAGAAATGATGAGCAAAGAAGCCCGCAAACTTATGGTCAAATCTAAATAATAATAAATGTTTCTGTCAAGTTTAAGGATTGTGTTAGTTATAATAATACAGTAATTATTATATAATTGCTGTTGCAGTAAAATAGTATTTTTTGCAACTGTTGGGTGATTTCTACAAATCTTATAAGAAAGGCAAGAGGAAAGCATATCCTTTTTAATACTATTACTATGTTAAGAAATTTAAATGTAAACTAAACTCTTTAATTAGTGATAGAATTGAGGGCATGCTTTTTTGTTTGGGGGTTATTATTTATTAACCCAATGTTGATAGAATTAGATGTTTAAATACATTTGTCAAAAATGGAAGGGTGAAAAAATTTTAAGGGCGAATTCTAAAAGAAGAAAATGGGGTATACAATTTCCAAACTACTACAATAGGGGTCAACAAACTATTTCTTTTTTTCTTTTTCTTTTTTTTTTTTTTTTGAGATAGAGTCTTGCTCTGTCGCCCAGGCTGGAGTGCACTGGCGCGATCTGGGCTCACTGCAAGCTCCGCCTCCTGGTTTCATGCCATTCTCCTGCCTCAGCCTCCGGAATAGCTGGGGCAATAGAGACGGGGTTTCACCATGTTAGCCAGGATGGTCTCAATCTCCTGACCTTGTGATCCGCCCACCTCGGCCTTCCAAAGTGCTGGGATTATAGTCGTGAGCCACCGTGACCGGCAACAAACTATTTCTGTAAGGGACTAGGTAATAAATATTTTAGGCTGTGGTCCATACTATCTCTGTTGTACCTATTTCCTCTGTCATGGTAACAATGAAGCAGCCATGGGCAATATACATAAACAAATGAGTATGGCTGAGTGCCAATAAAACCTTATTTATAAATAAACACTGAAATTTTAATTTCATGTAATTTTTTCATATCATAAAACATTCTTCTTGTGGGCCATATATACAAAGACAGGCAGCAGAGTGGATTTGGTCCATGGGCCATAGCTTGCTCCTTTCCACATTAGAGAACAAAGGGAGGGAACAAAGGAAATTAATTTCAATTAAGACAGAAAATGGGAGAAAAATGGACCAGGGTAGGGGGAGCAAAAAACCACAAGGGAGTATAAGAAACAGGAAACATAAAATGAGCTATCAGGAAAAGAAAAAAAAATCCCAATAAATGTGAACAGCATAAACTTTTATCATAAAGACAAGAAATTCTCAGGGTGTAGCCTAAATGATAACAGGTTATTAGATAATCAGGGTATATCTCTGCTGTAGAGCAGTGCTATTAAAGTATGATTTGTATAACAATACCAGTCAGCAAACTGTTAATATTCCACAATAAGATAAGAACAGAAATAGAGTATTTAGAAAGTCTTTTTTTTTTTTTTTTTTTTGAGACGGAGTTTTGCTCTTGTTGCCCAGGCTGGAGTGCAGTGGCACGATCTCGGCGCACTGCAACCTCCGCCTCCCGGGTTCAAGCGATCTCCTGCCTCAGCCTCCCAAATAGTTGGGATTACAGGCGTGCCCCACCACGCCCGGCTAATTTTGTATTTTTAGTAGAGATGGGGTTTCTCCATATTGTTCAGGCTGGTCTGGAACTCCCAACCTCACGTGATCCGCCTGCGTCGGCCTCCCAAAGTGCTGGGATTACAGGCATGAGCCACCATGCCCGGCCTAGAAACTCTTATAATAATGTGACATTGTTACCACATCCATGTGTGAGATTATTTTTCTACTAACTCATTGTATTTCACAAAACTCAGTTCATACAAGTTTGGAAAATTAAAAAGAGAAAACTGGTTTGAGAATTGCTACAGAGAATACAATGCAGTTATTTATAAAATGAAGTAATTCCCTATGTATAGACATGGTCAATGAAATAAACACATTGTAGGACAGTGTAGAAGGTATGATCGTGTGTGTGTGTGTGTGTGTGTGTGTGTGTGTGTGTGTGTGTGTATGACCAGTCTTAACTGGAACTAACATGTTTTTTAAAAGCACCAATCATGTATGTAACAAATTTTCAAGGAGTGGAAAAATTCACATCAATTTTTTTTTTTTTTGAGGCAAAGTTTCACTTTTGTCGCCCAGCCTGGAGTGCAATGGCACAATCTTGGCTCACTGCAACCTCTGCCTCCCAGGTTCAAGTGATTCTCCTGCCTCAGCCTCCTGAGAAGCTGGGATTACAGGCATGCACCACCATGCCTGGCTAATTTATATATTTTTAGTAGAGACGGGGTTTCATCATGTTGGCCAGGCTGGTCTCGAACTCCTGACCTCAGGTGATCCACCTGCCTCGGCCTCCCAAAGTGCTGGGATTACAGGCGTGAGCCACTGTGCCCTGCCCACATCAAATTTTTAATCATGATTACAAATAAGAGATTATGACTGGTAGAGTAGGATTGAGGGAAGTGGTGATAAAGGAGTATTTTTATGTTTTAGTCTACTTAAATTTGTATTATTTGACTTTTTGTTATAGTACATGTATTTCTTTTATAATGCTTTTAAAATGTTTTATTTAAATTAATAATCTCTTGGCCTTTCAAATAATTGCCACTGGTCAATTGAATATCCATTCAGAAAACAAACAATTTTAACCTCTGCTTCACATAATCCATAAAAATTCACTTGAAATGTATCAATCATGAACTAGTGAAAGCTAAAACAGTAAAGCTAATAGAAGAACACATGGAATAACATCCTAATGAGTTTGGGATAGGCAGAGATTCCTTAAGCGGGACACAGAAAACACAAGTACATGGAGAAGAGTATATATTTATATTCTGTATATGTGTATGTGTGTGTGTCTGTGTTTATACCTGATGGACTTTATATCCTAAAAACTAAGAAAAAGACAAATCAATTAAAAAAATACACAAAAGGTTTGAAGAGGTACTTTACAATGAAGAAATCTGAACGACTAATTTGAATATGAAAAGGTGCTCATTTGGCCAGGCGTGGTGGCTCATGCCTGTAATCCCAGCACTTTGGGAGGCCTAAGCAGGTGGATCACCTGAGGTCAGGAGTTTGAGACCAGCCTGGCCAACATGGCAAAACCCCGTCTCTACTAAAAATACAAAAATTAGCCGGGCATGGTGGCATGTGCCTGTAGTCCCAACTACTCGAGGCTGAGGCTGGAGAATTGCTTGAACCCAGGAGACGGAGGTTGCAGTGAGCCGAGATCACACCACTGCACTCCAGCTTGGGTGACAGAGCAAGACTTTGTCTCAAAAAAAAAAAAAAAAAAAAAGGTGTCCAGCATTATTGTATAGGAAATGTGAATCACAACTACTACACATGAATTCTAATGGCTAAAATGAAAAGAACTCCTAAGATTAAGTGTCGGGGAAAATATAGATAGAGCAATCTGAACGATCATACATTTTCAGTGGGAGTGGCAATTGGTATAATCACTTTGAAGAACTGGTGCTATCTACTGAAGCTGAACAGACATAAACCCTATGAGG
The DNA here is from genome assembly GCF_000001405.40 of Homo sapiens. NCBI lineage: Eukaryota > Metazoa > Chordata > Mammalia > Primates > Hominidae > Homo > Homo sapiens. The sequence continues at coordinate 30,558,836 of NC_000002.12, forward strand.
CATCAGTTTCACTGCTGGTTATCTACTTAGCAGAAATGGGTGCTCAGGTTTAACGAAAGACAGGTACAAGATTATCTATATTAACTTTATTCCTAATATACAAGGAATCTTCATAAGAAGTATAAATAAACTGTATATTGGTCTACAGTGGTATATTTATATAATTGACACCAGCAGTTACATTGATACTGGCATTGCAAAGAAGAAAATACTGCCACACAACATGGATGAATCTCATAGACGAAATATTGAGCATAAGAAGCAAAATACATAAGAATATATACTGTGTGATTCTACTTATATGATTTGTGGTGTTAGAAGTTGGAGTATTGGTTTTCTTTTGGGAGGGGAAGTATTGACTGGAAATAGGACACATGGAAGCATTTGAGTATTTTAGAAATGTTCAATATCTTAGTTGGGTGATAGCCAGGCATATATGTATATGTGACAATTTATTAAGCTCTCTACCTATATATACTTACTGTCCGCACACTTCACTGTAAGTTATACCTCTATAAAAATGTTTAAAAAACACCAACTCAGTCATTACCCACTTATCTGAAATTCTGTCATTATTGTATACCAAATCCTTAACATATTCAAGGACTTTTATCTAAGTCTTGCATTCATTTCCATTCACCTATTTTTGCAGGTGTACTTTTGATTTAATCATTGTTGCTTCATAATACACTTGTTTAATGGTTCATGTCTTTCCTGCTTATTATTCTATTGCAAAGTTATCTTGAATATTCTCACCTTTTTATTATTATAGATAATCTATAGCTTTATTTAATTTTTGGCTTTGTCAGCCAAATTCTCACACACCCTCATGCTATTGAAATTTTCACTGGAGATCATTGGCATCACTGGTTGAGTTCAAAAACATTGTATAATCTCTTCATCTCTTTCTAGTTAAGTAATTGTTTTCATGTGGCTCTTGCAAGTTAATTAGGTTTATTTCTGCACATTTTGGTTTTGCTGTTGTGAATAGGAACTCTTTTGTTACATTTTACAATCCTTGATGTAATATTCTTGATATTATTGTAACTTGTTAATTAATAATAGCTACCCATTGAACACTCTGTGCTAAATAATCTTATTTGTTTCTCTCATCAATCCCCCTCAGGTAGATACTGTTGCATTGTGCTCATTTTATATTTGAGTCTGAAGGGTGAACAGCTGGCTTGTAGTGGTTTCACTCCAGAGCTATACTACTTACACACACTGCTCTGTGGGCCTAAGTGTCCTCAGATGAAGGACAGATGTGTGGGAGCGGGCAGTGTACAGTCATGTCCAATATTGGTGGATGAGACTGATATTATAGTGACTAGTAACTGGATGCTTATCAGCAAGACTTATACACTGAAGTGAATTTTTTTGTATATGCTTATTTATATATGTAAAATACAGTATTCTAGTTTGGACTTACCCAGGCCAAATAAAGTGTGGTGTGTGTGTGTGTGTGTGTGTGTGTGTGTGTGTGTGTGTGTATTATTTATTTATTTTGACACGGAGTCTTGCTCCATTGCCCAACTATGTTGTTGTGTGGCTGAAGTGCAGTGGTACGATCTCAGCTCACTGCACCCTCTGCCTCCCAGGTTCAAGCAGTTCTCCCCGCTCAGCCTCCCAAGTAGCTGGGATTACAGGCAGCTGCCATCATGCCTGGCTAATTTTTGTATTTTTGTAGAGATGGGGTTTCACCATGTTGGCCAGGCTGGTCTTGAACTGCTGACCTCAGGTGATCCATAGCCTCGGCCTCCCAAATTGCTGGGATTACAGGCATGAGCCACCATGCCTGGCTATGTGTGTATTTAATCACTGGTAAATAATTTAATGATTATGTATATGTATTATCAGGGTTCTGTTGTATTTATCAAATGATGATAGCTGTTGTCTTAGTTACGTTCTTTGTTTGCAAGGAACTGCCAGCTGAAATAATAAGAGTTTATTATTCCTCTATTCCTGCATGGCAGGAAGAGAGGTGGATTCTCATGGATATCCAAGAGGTGGATCCGTAGACTGGCTAGGACTTGTGGAGATTAAAACTGTCTTTTGTTATGAATCATAGTCAGCTTTGGGGGGCTTTTGCCCTTCACTCTCATATGCTTTTATTTATTCTTTTTGAGATGGAGTTTCACTCTTGTTGCCCAGGCTGGAGTGCAATGGTGCAACCTCAGCTTACTGCAACCTCTGCCCCCCGGGTTCAAGCGATTCTCCTGCCTCAGCCTCCTGAGTAGCTGGAATTACAGGCACCTGCCACCACGCCTGGCTAATTTTTTGTATTTTTAGTAGAGATAGGGTTTCACCATGTTGGCCAGGCTGGTCTCGAACTCCTGACCTCAGGTGATTCACCCGCCTCAGCCTCCCAAAGTGCTGGGATTACAGGCATGAGCCACCACACGCGGCCTCTTGTATGCTATTTTTATCCTGCCTCAGCCCCTCTGCTCTTTGGTCTGTCCATTTGACTGTATCCTACCAACTTGTCTGGTTTCTCTGTGGTCCTAGGTGAAATTTCTGAGGGGGAACATTTGGTTGGCCTAGGTATTTCCTGTGTTTGTCCATGCTCTTCATGCTTTGTGGGCTATTGGACAGACTATTGGATTGATTGCCTCAGTTAGGTATCTACTGTAGTAGTCTGGTCATTGTGGCTGGGGAGATGGCTGGTCATCTAAAACATGGCACATCTAGGGCTCTCTCTTCAAAGAGCAAGGGTGATTTGCCCTAGAGAAAAGGAATGTAGTCATAGTGTACACTCTGATTAATGTGTTTAGTACCATTGCACAATTTCCCTTTTCTTTTCAATGACATAGAAAGTGGCTAACATTGAAAATAGCAGTTGGATTTAGAGACTTGAGTGGTATCAGAAGGGAAATATTAAAGAGAATGCTTATATACTTGACGACAGTCTTTTGCTTACTGCTCTGTAAGCTGTCAGAACACATTCTTTTATCTCCTGTAGATATCTTGGTTAAAATATCTGTTTAGTTAGGATTGTTAAAATTTTGGATAAGTTAGTGATAAATACTAAGGAAAAATTCTTTCCTTAATATTTTAATAGCTAGTTTTCGCTTGAAAAGATAATTTTGAGAATTTTGCAAACCTCAGGATTACCAAATCTCTTTTAGGATATTCTCTTATATATATGTTAGTTATTTAACCCAAGATCAGTGCTGAATTTATGCTATATCATGAAATGTTTACAATAATAAATAATATATAGTAAAACCAGAAAACTGAAATATTGTATTCAATAATATGTGGATATTGGCAATAAAATTATAGGTAAATTTTATTGTTAAATTGATTCTAGGTTGGGCCATGCAGGCTGCTGCCTATATCTTCATTCATAGGAAATGGAAGGATGACAAGAGCCATTTCGAAGACATGATTGATTACTTTTGTGATATTCACGAACCACTTCAACTCCTCATATTCCCAGAAGGGACTGATCTCACAGGTAATGTAGCCTGGGTTTGGCAAAGTTAGAAATCATGTAGTCTAAACTTCTCATTTCTCAGATGAAGTAACTGAACACCAACAAGAATAATGGCTCTTCCAGGTGTGGTGGTCCATCCCTGGAATCCTAGCTACTCAGGAGGCTGAGACTGGAAGATGGATTGAGTCCAGAAGTTTGAGACCAGCCTGAGCTACATAGCGAGACTTCATCTCAAAAAAACAAAACAAAACAAAACAGAAAAATTAATGGCTCATCCCTAAGGTCACTCAGTTAATCAATAGCATGTCAGGACTCAGAACTCTTGGTTTCTAGCCCATTGAATTTATAGTAGGCAACTCCAAGCGGTCATATTATTCATACTTGCCATCTTTGAACTTTATATTTTAAGCCTCAGAATATATTTTAAAATATCAGGCTTTTATCTTTATGTAAGTGTAATTTTAAAATCATGTTTTAGGTTAATGTTTATCCTCCCCTACCTGTTGTTTATATTCTCTTATCCTCTTCTAAGGTATTTATTTATCCATTAGACCCTTCCTACTCCTCAGCGTCTTCCTCATAAGAAAAAGATCTGATAGTAACTAATTTCAGTTATTGTTGATTTACGTTAATAGGTTACCTTTCTCCTGATATTTAAGCCCTATCCTTGCTACAAGCAGGAATAGCTTTGCCCTTCTTCAAGAAAACTCAGCCATCATTGAGTTGTAGCAAGGACACAGGAAGACATGTTTATAACTTTTCGGCCTTCCTAAATATTAAACTTTTTTTTTTTTTCTTTTTTGAGCCTGTCATCTAGGCTGGAGTGCAGTGGCATGATCATGGTTCACTACAGCCTTGAACTCCTGGGCTCAAGCTTATAGTGTCTGGGACTGCACCCGATACTACCACCACACCTGGCTACCAGATTTTAAACCATATAGGCCAGGAATTGCCAATGGATTTCAAGAAAGTCTTAAAAAGACTGAAAACAAAATACTCAACAGTCTGTCATCCTTACTAAATCAGTAGTTTTCACACTTTTTAAACCATGGATTATTTTTGCAGATGAAGCCTTCTATCAAGGATGTTAGATAATAAGATGGATAAAAGCAGAACTGCTCTGGTTGATACTGGGAGGGGTGATGGTGGGGGCATAGCTTAGACAGAAAGTATTTCTGTAGAATCTTTGGACTCAAAAGACTAAAATGTACCTTTGATAGTCCCGATAACTTCAAGAGAAATACAGCAGAATTTGAGAAGGATTCAGTGGATCTTACAGCTCTGCTGTGTAAGGGAAGACAGGCTGAAGCAGGAGAGAACTGAAGTCTAAAATCTGTAGTAGTATGGGCAGGTAGAACATGAACTTAACTTTCAAATTTTTGGTAATAGACTAAGAAGGGCAACCCTTGGAATTTAAGAGAGGAGAACAGGTAAATAAACATACTATTCATACTGTGCACATAATAATTTATGGAACTCATTATTACAAAAGAGAGTTCAAGATGAAAAATAGACATTACATACATATTTAAGCAAGTGAATAGGTGACTGAGCCATAATAGGTTGTTAAGGGAAATTAAGGTATTTTAGGATTTACTATAGGTAGCAATGAAGGGATCTTTGACACATCTATTGCAGATGGAACTGAGCTAAATGAACGGTGGCACTTTTTTTATACTAGTCAGATCTCTAAAATGTATGCCAACTGTGTAGTATATTTTTGATTTTTTACAGTTGAGATTCTAGAAGTGGTTGGATCACAGAGGATAATACTGAGGATAATAATGGCTGCTTGTTGAAGCTTGAAAATATATTATTGTAAGTTGTAAGTTGATTTCCAGAACTAAATTATCATTAGGAAATTATAAGTGACAGGTGGCCATATTTAAATTTTATAATATTTAGAATGTATAATACCTAAATTTTGATATTGAAATATCAGCTTTATTTAATAAATATAGAGTATAGAAAGCCATTCACTGAAATGATAGGTTTATATTTGTGAATGCGAAAATGTACACCAAAGAATGCCAACTTTGAAAGTTATTTGGTAAATAAAAACTAATGAAAGAAAGGTCATATGTTACTGCTACATTAGTGTTAATATGTTCATACATTAGACCTTCAGAGTCATAAAATGTATATGTAAAACTTTTTTCATTCTGTATTTGTTCTCAGGTTTCTTTTTGTAGGTGATGAACTCTCCATCTAGTTGCATAATTTTGGAGTCCATAGTGCTCACCATTACATGATGTAGTTGCATATATATTTTAAATGCAAATGATGTTTACCTTTGAAGCTAGACTTTGCCAAGGAGAAAAAACAGACTGATCCTGAAGTTTTAAACATTTTTTTAACAGTAGAATACAGATAATTTTATTGAGTTGGTAAAAAATCATTTTAAAAAATAGGCTAACAAAATATCTCCAGTTTGGAAAAAGTATCTGTTAATTAAAAGGTGTTTAGTTACTACCATACTTAACCTTAAACTGGGTTTTTCAGCCCAGTGAGACTGTTTTATAATTTAAGTCCTGAATCTAGCTTGCATGTACATTTAAATTAGTGCATTTAAATCTAACTTTACATATATTCTATCTTCATATTTTATTGTTGGTTATAACTTTTTAATGGAAGCAATATATGTTAATTTGGGAAAATTTGGAAACATAGAAGTATGCACAAAACTTGCTATAATCCCACTGCCCATAAGTGAACACTATTTTAATTTTGGTCCATTTCTTTTGAGTCATTTTGGTCACACACAGACATATGTGCACCCATACATATGTCTTCGTTATTCTTGGGTTAGGGAGTTCTATATTGTATTGGCATATTAGTTAGGGTTCTCTAGAGAAAGAGAACCAGTAGGATGTGTATATATAGAAAGAGGTTGAGATTTATTTTAAGGAATTGGCTCTTACAGTTGTGGAGGTTTGGTAAGTCCACGATCTGTAGGGTAGGGTGGCAGAGTGGAGATCCCGGGAAGTAGTCGAAGTTCAAGGCCAAAGGCAGTCTAGAGGCAGAATTCTTTCTTCCTTGTTGGGGAGAGGAGGGCACTTCTGTCTTTTTCTGTTAAGGTCTTCATTCACCTGATTTGATGGGGCCTACTCCCATTGTGGAGGGTCATCTGCTGTACTCAGTCTACTAATTTAAATATTAGTCTCTTCTAAAAAATACCTTCCCAGAAACATCTAGAATAATATTTGATGAGATACCTGAGTATCGTGGCCTATTAAAGTTGACATATAAAATTAGCCATCACAATTAGTATGTGATAATTTTGAGTTCCATTTCCCTGATTTGGAAAGATTCTAACAATTATGTTATTGCATATAACATAACACCTATATACATAAAACTTATTCTTTTTAATACATATATGAGTGCCTGGATCTTTATCCCTACTCTCACGAAGTTTACGTTCTGTGAGGAAAGACAGATGATAAACTAATAAGTTAATAAAAATATGTCAGTCATAAGTGCTATGCAGAAAAATAAGGCAGGATAAGGAGAGAGAGAGAGTCATAGAAGGGGTGTAGGGTGCTGTTTTGTTTAAGGTGGTTAGGGAAAGCCTCTCTGTTAAGTTTCTGTTTAAGTAGGGACTAAATGAACAAAGCAGAAAAGCGTGCAGCTGTATGGGTGAAAGGCATTCTGGGTGAAGGGAGGAGCAGCAACTGCACCGATCCTGAGGTGGGAACATGCCCAGCTGGTTTGAGAATAGCTGCTAGTAGTCCCATGGGCGGAAGGAGTGTAGGAGTGGGAGAATTACAGGGAGTAACGTGACAAGACAGGAGGCTGTGGTCAGAAAGTGGGATGCTAGTGCAATAACAGAGTCTGGGGATGAGTAGATGAAGTAGGGGGTAGATGGAAAAGTCTACATCTCTAATCTCTCTGTATTTCTGATCATTTTTACCGTCCCACATTGTGACTGTTTGTTTTAGAGCTGTTTATACTTGTACTCACATTCTACAACAGTTCAGTTTTGCTTTCAGAATCCCCAGAGTTTTATAAACTGAAAGACCAAACTAAAGGGTAGTTACTACTCATCTTTGTGGTGTCTATGGGATTCCTAATCCCATTTAAGGTCCTGTCAGCTGTCTATAATATAAATATTGTTTTGTAGCCCCATGCCCAGGATATCCTCAAATGAATATGAGAGGAACTTACTACTCTTCATGTGTAGGGCCTTTACTTTTGACTTGCCCGGCTCAATTCCTTTATCATAAAATGATGTAACACCTTCTATAGGAGTGTTCTTTGAATATTTCAGTGTTGTGGAAGTCGTCTATGGTTTTTGGAGACTTTGAGGACTCCGTGATCTTAAATTTACTCCTAGTAAAGTTGTGTCGATATAGATATTTTTCTTGTGACTTGGAATAATAGTTTATCAATTTCGGAATGCAGCTGAGGATTGCGGGTTCTAACATCTGCTGTCATCAGAAAGTATTTCATGATCTCTCCCAGCAGTTGAGGCCAAATTTCTGAACACTTTACTTTTTCCAAATGTATTTGCTGAATAATGGGTTTGGTTCTTCTTGGAACTTGTAAAGTTACCTCATGGAATGGAAAAAGAAGGTTTTGCCAACAACTGGAACATGTACTTGACTCCGTAACTATATTCAGCCAAACCATGTTCAGATATTTGTACATGATGTGCTAATCATGTGCCCATTTTGTTATGGAGCGGTTTGGGTTAGTAATATTAACATACTCTGTGCCTGAGCAAGGCAGATATTTCAGTTCACATTGAAGGCCTAAATTATTGGATTTTAAAGAATGTTGATCTGATATATTTGATTGCTAGTTATTTCTTCTGGATGTCTAGGTCATTGTATTTTGTTAGTGTCTTAGTTTTATTTTATTAGCATTTTATATTTTAATATTTCAATTTTGTTATATAGGGATTGTTTTATAAAAAAATTTAGTTATTAGCATTTTAATTTTCATTGAATGTTGACTTTCATGAAATCTTTTAAACAAATTAAAAGATATGAATATGAATTTCAGAAAATGTATAAAAATCGATTTATGCCTTTGTTATAATTTTTTTTAATTTCAGTAAGTATAACCGAGCATCTCAGCTTTGAAATGCATTTTAACACTTTTTTTCTTTAGTCTTAGAATATAGCCTCGAAGTGTACTTTGAAACTCTGTTTTCCTTCTGTTTCCACTAGACACTTCCTTGCACCATGTATGCTTATCTACTATATGCTTGCTTAGAAATTCCAGGGGCTAATTTTGAAACAAACCAGGCATGGAGGCCCTGTGGAACCCTCCCACTTGGGGGAGTCATGAACAGTTAGTCCACTACCATCAGGCTAAAGTCAAAGTAATGCCAAGTGGACCTCCGGATGGGCAGTTACCCGAGACAGCCATCAGAACAAGACACACAGACCCTGTGCCATTCAAACATCTCCTACAGCAAGTTTCCTTTTAAAAACACTATGATAAATTTTAAAACTTAAGATGGGACTTTAGAACACTAGTTCACTATCTTCTCAGTTTGCTGGCTCTCTGTTTAAAACCTGCTTTCCCTCCCACCAAACTTGGCCTCTTGTGTTTGGCTTTCGAGCAGCAAATAGCCAAACCTGGGTCTGGTTACATAAGTAGGTCTGGGATCTTGATAATGGACCATCTGCAATGTTTGTATCTTCTCATTTGACTCAGTATTCAGTAATTAGAGAATAATTAACAGCTATTTTTTATCAAAAAAAATTCTGCACTTCTTTCCTTACCTTGTTTATTTCCCTTTAGTTTATGATTTATAATGGTCCATTGTTTTGTTTAGAAAACAGCAAGTCTCGAAGTAATGCATTTGCTGAAAAAAATGGACTTCAGAAATATGAATATGTTTTACATCCAAGAACTACAGGCTTTACTTTTGTGGTAGACCGTCTAAGAGAAGGTAAGCACCCATTTCAAAATGTACTTTTTAATAAAAGTGGCAAAAATTGCTAAGCTTTATATATAGCCCTTTAGAGTTTGTAAAGGATTTTTTACTACTTTGTCTCAAGAAATGAGATATTGTATTTTTATTCCAAGTTGGCCTATGTACTAAAATGTTTTGCCATGTATTTGTTAGAGATATAGAAGAGATCTCTGTAAAAAATTCTTTCCCCTTTTTTGGAACAGACATAACTCTATATTACATATATATATATGTTTGTATATAGAGAGTTAGGCTATAATTCCATTTTAGGATATTTCTCCAAGTGGCAAAAATGTCTTTCTTTCTTTTTTTTTTTTTTTTTTTTGAGATGGAGTCTTGCTCTGTTGCCCAGGTTGGAGTGCAGTGGTGCTATCTCGGCTCACTGCAAGCTCTGCCTCCCAGGTTCCCGCCATTCCCCTGCCTCAGCCTCCCAAGTAGCTGGGACTACAGGTGCCCACCACCACGCCCAGCTAATTTTTTGTATTTTCAGTAGAGAGGGGGTTTCAACATGTTAGCCGGGATGGTCTCGATTTCCTGACCTCGTGATCCAGCAGCCTCAGCCTCCCAAACTGCTGGAATTACAGGCGTGAGCCACGGCGCCCGGCCAAAAATGTCTTAAGAGTATCTTGTCACTTAATCCATTTCTCTAGTAATCATGAATAGCAAAAAAAAAAAAAAAAAAAAGAGAAAAAAAATCTTATCACTTAAACTAACCATATGTTTGGCTCTTAGGGTTTGAGAATATATCATTCTCTTACTATTTTAAGCTATAGAGAAATATAACGATCTGAAAAATAATTTTACTTTAATTATTTCACTCAGTCCACCAAGTAACTGGTTGGTAGGAAGGCAAGTGCCACTACCTCTACTATTTTATAGTTAAATAGAACTGGCATCCAGTGCGGTAAGTACATTTTCACAGGTTACTTGAGTCAGGGATAGAACCTTCTTCTGCTTCCTAATTTGTGGCTCATATCACACTTCTTTCAAACTGTGTCTATTCAGGGGCATATATGAGCAGAAAGTGATTCCGTTGATGATATCGCACCCATTTAAATGCTTAGGTTTTGATGTAAATAAAAACCAATTGTACTTTTTAATTATAGTTCTGCATATTTGCAAGTTTATATATTTATACACATTTGTACATACAAATAACACATATATGAAGAAAAGGTAACTATTCGGAAACATACTGAAGTGTTAATTTTATAACAGTTCAAAGCCCACAGTCAACTAACAGAAGTGTGTTTGCACATTTCTGCTCTTCACTCTGATTTCCAGTAAGCCATATTGTGTAATGGTGATCTCTGTGACAAATGTCACCTTCATCTGGTAACTGATATATTTTCATAAAACTGTTGTGCATAACATGAAAAGTCTTGAACCATTATGTAAGAAAAGGTATGAAGTTCTTTCCCTAAATGGCATCACTGTTGTTCTCTTTAGGATTTAATATACTTTAAGATAAAAAGTATAACCTGCCAAGATGAAGCATATTTATAACCAAGTACCCATGATTTAAAGAAAGGTTCACAATCAATTCAAAATCACATGGTATGGTAAACCAAAAATGTTATTCATATTACTTTGGTTTGCTTTTGCAATTCCGTGATTACAACTAATATAACATGGACTTGTGGACTTGATATTCATGTTGTATGTGATTAGTGAGTGCCCATCTACCCGTGGAAGTTCATGGAGAATACAGTTCTTCATGCCTGTGGAATGGGGTGGAGAGGCACGAAGACATTCAAGCAGTGATGCTTTTTTTTTTAATTTGATACCATTTACTATGGCATGTAACTTAGACTCACCCTTCTCATTCAACAATGTTTTTCTATTTTACAGTATTTAATGATTCCTTTAAAGGTATTTCTGACATCATAGAACAATCTATAGAGCTCTCTTTTGAAATCTGGAAAATATTTTAGTAGCAAACTGATTTATAACTTTGGTTAATGTATATTAGTCATCACTCCAGGCACTAGTCAACAACCACAGTATGTAATTTTTCCTGCCAGTTGTGACAGCTGGTCTCCCCAACATCCCTCCTGTATCAGTAAAAAGAAACATAGATGATTCCATTTATTTCAGTTAGAAAACAACAGTTAGATGATTTTATTTGTTAGAAACATAAAATGGGACTTGTATACTATAATAATAAAAATAAAAAATATGATGAGGATAACTATAATAGTATAGCAGCTAACGTTAACTGAGCATTTACTATGTACCTGGCATTATGCTGTGTGTTTTATGCCTATGATCAATTCATCTTCACAACAACTGTACATGGTAGTTATAAATATTTATCTCATTGTGCAAAACTGAAGCAGAAATTGAGGTAAAGAACCTCATCAAAATTATTGGAATACAGTTTGTCTAACTGAATAGCTCTTGTTCTTTCTACTGTAACTAGTTGCTGCTTGTATTTATAGTATGATTTTAGTTAACAAAATCTCCAGATCATTAAGCACCTTTCTAACACTAGTGAGCTGGAATATTTTCTTTAAGAAAGAGTTAAATAGGAAAAGAATTTAAAAAGAGGCTAAATGGCCAGAACACGGAGAGATGGTAGTCACCAGGCAGGTGGTTGTGATGCTGCCTGAGATAACGGGGGAGCAGAGCAGGAAGAGGCTAAGGAGGCATCAGTTGGGGAGTTGAGGGCAACTCTCATTTCTGGGGGTTCAAGTGAATAAAGAGAGAAAAAGTTTCATTAGTGATTGGAGGTGAGGAGGATCTTAGAGGTCATCTAGTCCAGAGTTCCTTTTAGAATGGGAATCTAAGACTCACAAAGGGGCCCAGCCTGGCTTTCTGATTTTTAAGCTCATGTATTATTAAGACTTGAGATCATCATATAGATTTATTTGAGTTTTAGGTTTGAAATACTTGTTTTTGAATTCAAAGAAAGCAGTTTATATTTCAATCCATACTTAGCTCATATGCTTAAATTCTGAATATAAAGGAATGAAGGATGTAATCTTTCCACTATTACTCTAGGGGGATACAGGGTTAACCACAAAATAGAAATTAAATTCCCACTAGGTAATTTGGATCAGCACACCTGAACCAAATTCTTCGGTTTGTATTCAGGGAGAGAGAATTGCTGACTTAACATGCAGGTTACATATATAGTGTCAGTAGTCTTGTTTGTGGGACGCTCATGTTTGTCTACAATAGTTCTCATGTGCTCTGAGAAAGTTGATAGCTACCTAGGAAATAAAAGCAATATACCAATCATAGACAGCTTAGTCTTCAGTAGCATTGTTCGACTATTTTAATTTCTTAGATTTTTGCTTACTGCACAACTAGCTAACAGTCCAGTCTGTCTACTGCCTACAGTGGAGGACTAAAGGTGACCAACAGAAACCCATCTCTGGCTCACATTGCATTTATAATAGTAAGCCTCTCCCAGGGTGGCATTTCAGTTACCCTTTTGAACAGCCAGCATGTTTTAGGAGGCAAGGAAGAAAGACAGACAAATTACTGAAATACTGGGTGCATTATATATCATGCACTCAGACCTTTTCATACAGCCTTTTATTGCTGGAAACTATGAAATTGGATAAGACCTTCCGTTATGTTAAATAAGATGTGGTTGTACAGTAGACTTTTGACATTTGCTAGAATATTTTCTGAGACAATTTCCATTTCCTCAATTTTGGAAATATTTTTGTAGATTAGTAGCTGACTTTCTTTTGAGGCCATTTTACAAGGAACATGATAGAGTGCAACAAAACCTAAATGAGATTTGTACACTGATGAGTGGATAAGCACCTGGATCACCTAAGTGACCTGGTGACCTGCACATCATGAAGCAGAAATTATTCAAATTTGCCTCAGGAGAAGTATGCATGACCGCATGTCAGAGACCTTTGATGTCTCTTCATGTTGAATTTTCAAATGCCATGGTATCGCTTTAGACCATAAAGGGAATTCATATTGTTTCTTTGTTCCTTTTAGTCACTGCCCACCTCGCCCCCTTTCCCTCCAGCGAAAAATCTGAGCTGCTCATTTAGGACAGATCTTCTTGTGTTTAGTGAAAAAAGTCATGATTGCCTTAATGAAAAAGGATAGAAGCCCTATCTATGTACTTAAAAACAACCATCTAACACTTATCAAGTTCTTCTTATGTACCAGGTATTGAGTTGTGCACGTTTCTTTACCTTGCCCATGCAGTAGAATCAACCATAGAGCTTTTTAAAAATACAGATACTGAGGTCCAAGCTCAGACCTATTGAATCAATCTGGTGATGGGGACCTAGACTCATAGCTACTTCTTTCACCATTCATACGTATCCCCTAATTCTCCTACCTAAGCTAGGTGGTAGTTTGCTTTGTGCTGCACCTGTGGAGCCTGGCTCCGTTTAGCAACTTTCACAGGGTCATACTGCTGCTGAGCAGAGGAACTTTAAACTCAAGTCTTTTTGATTCCAGTGCTCATGTTCTTTCCACTGTATAAGAAGCTTACAGTTTTTCAAATGCTAAAAAAAATTATTCTTTGTAGGTTTTTTTTTTCTATTTCCAAGATTTCTCCCTGATATCCTTGGCTCTACTGTGAGTTCTGTTTAAATGAAAAAATATATATAAAGGATTTTCTTTTTGTAAGCCTCTTTTATTTTTCTGATTCCTGCCTTTACCAGTTCCTCCTCCATTTCTCTAATCTTTAAAAAAAAATGACATTCAAACTATCTGTCCTTTCAAATTGTGATTTCATTCTCTGGCAGAGCCTGGGTTGAAAGAGGAAAAAAAATTGTGGTTCGATCGTTTTCTTTCTTTTTGCCATCAAATTGCAGAAGTAGCTTGATGACTTGATTTTTCTCAATACTGGTTCATTTTTTATTAAAAATAGATAATAGGTTTTTAATTGTAAAAACAGAATGTACTTACTGTTAAAAATTGGAAAATTAATAAAGAAGAAACTGTTGTGCAAGCCAGAAACCTGGGAGTCATTGTTGGCCCGCCCCCCTCTGCTTTTCACATGCTGTGAAATCCCAAACAAGGCCTTTTGATTCTACCCCTTAAGGATCTCTCAAATTAATTATTTTCATTCGCAGTGCCATACTGGTCTGGGCCTTCATTGTATGTTCCCTGAATTATCATACAGCTGCTCAGCTGGACTTTCTAGCTCTGGTCTTGACTTAACCAGTCCTTTCTCCACTTTGTAGCCAGAGAGTCAAGCCTTTTTCTAAATGAGGGTGGCATCACACTGAGATAGGTATCCAGGTACTGGAGTAAGGTCTCACAGAATTCCAAGGTTAAATCTACTCTAACATGATTTACCCAGGCCTCCTATGACCTACCTCTCTGGCTGTATCTCCTGTCTCCCTAGTTGTACCATTTGTTCTAGCCTTACTGAACCACACTTCTTTCCCAGATTGCACAGTGTGCTGAGCCTTCCCCACGGTATCCTCTTAAGATGTCACCTTAGATAACAGTTCATCCAGGAAGCCTTCCTGATTTTCTTTGGCTTGGTTGGGTACCTTGCTTTATATTCCCTATATGAATGCTTTTCCTACTAGCTATATGTAAATTTTTCTTACGATAGTATCACTTGTTTAGTTGTTTATCTTCTTCACTGTTTTTTCTCAAGCCTTCAGCACAGGGCCTGGCAAATAATAGATACCCTTCAAATTTTTTGAGCCTATCAACTAATTGGTCAATGTAATTTTATACCGTGTTCCAATAAAGATTTAAAATGGCTAACATAAATTTGTATCATATAATAATAGCAGTGCCCCAGCCTGGTTAAGATGACGAAACCCCATCTCTACTAAAAATACAAAAATTAGCCAAGCATTGTGGCACACACCTCTTAATCCCAGATATTCGGGAGGCTGAGGCACGGGAATCGCTTGAACCTGGGAGGTGGAGGTTGCAGTGAGCTGAGATTGCACCACTATACTCCAGCCTGGGTAACAGAGCCAAGACTCTGTCTCAAAAAAATAATAATAATAATAATAGCAGCACCAAAAGTAAGAGAAGAAATCAAGGTAAGGGAAAATAGGGGTAAATTTTTTAAAAACTAGATGTGAAGTTACATTACAAAACATGTTATAAGTTTCTACATTTCTTTATAATGTGAGTCCAAACATTGTCCCTGAGCTTTCTGTACCTTTTATACAAGGAAACCAAAGTATTATTGACAGTGTTTATAAGATCAAAGCAAGCCAGATGATTAGAAGAAGCATTTTTGAAAGACTTGAAATATCTCCCATGGCTCTTCACAAAGAGCACATTGTACATTTCATGACCAAGATCCTGAACAGCATCCTTATGGGAAATATAATGAACTTTTTAGAACTACTCCACATAGCCTCATCATGGTTGTCCATGTTGGCTAATGGAATAAACACATTCCATTACATGAGAAAGAGCAGTCTCATAAAAGCTCAAAACACTCAGACTCTATATGGATTTAGAGTGTCTCAACTCTAAAGGTACGGGTAGACTGCATGTCCTTCAGACGATTCTCCATAAAAAGTGTCACTCACTGAGGATTGGATGACAATTAGTTCACACTGAGTTTGATTATTCTTTGTAAGGCATCTGTTCTACAGATACTTTGTGTCATGAAGCGCTGCAGAGTCAAGAGCTATAGTAGTAAGTGGATCTAGGAGTCAGACTAAGGGAAATTGAAGAGCTTACTGAGATTTCACACATGAATGGAAGGCCTCCTTCAAAACAGAGGTCTGCCAGCATGTCCTTAGAAAACAATGAGGAGTATGTGTTTTTCGTATCCTCTGCAATGCTTGCACATAGTAAGTGGACCATTGTTGAAAGCTCAGGTCCTAGTCTGTGTGGCTCTTTTGGTCTTGTTTATTGCTGTGACTTCATGCCCTCTCTTCACTCCAGTCATGTGGGACACATGACTGTGTCTTCTCCCAAACTGTTCCCATTCATCTGGCTAGCTCCCATTGGTTCCTCCAGACAGCTTAAGTGTTTTTTCCACTTCAAACAGTTTTCTGACCTCTCCAGGTTATTGGAGTTCCCTCTTCTTATTCTCATCATACTCTATACATTTCTGTTAATAACCAGTAGTTTTTTGGTGGCCTTTTTTTTTTGTCCATCTCTCTCATTGGACTTGAGCTCCTTTAGGATAGAGATACTGTGCCGTATTTGTTTTTATATCTGAGGTCCTAATACCATGCCAGGAATATTATAGGTACTCAATAAATTTATAGTTTGGTACAAATTTTTAAAGATGACCTAATTTTAGCATCTCTCGCATACACACATATGCACATCTGATTAGCAATTCTTCCCACCCCCTTCAGTCTAGTGATCACACTTACAGATTTTAATTTATATGGAGTCCTTTCATTGCAACAGAGATGAGATTTATGGCAGTGCCAGAGGGCCACCTGAGGCAGATGCACAGCAGGTAATAACTATCTTAAGACACTCTCTTCTTTTTTTAACTACCGGAGGATAAAAGAGTACATTTTTTTTCTAGATTATGTATACTACTGGAAGAGAATTACAGAAACACGTTATTGGTAACTTAAATGAATAAGGTCTTGGCATGTGATCATGTAAAATTCAATATGGAAATGTGGTTCTTAATTAAATGTTTCCTTTATTTGTATCTCAGTGAGTTTCAGATTCTAATATGGTGTTAAACAGATAGTTATTGCAACCTCGTGTCTCTCTGTACCACTTGACTTCAATAG